>NW_009646198.1:43496-305979 GCF_000001405.40 Homo sapiens
TTTCCAACTGAGGTACTGGGTTCATCTCACTGGGGAGTGCTGGACAGTGGGTGCAGGACAGTGGGTGCAGTGCAACACACATGAGCTGAAGCAGGGCGAGGCATTGCCTCACCTGGGAAGCACAAGGGGTCAGGGAATTCCCTTTCCTAGCCAAGGAAAGGGGTGATGGATGGCACCTGGAAAATCGGGTCACTCCCACCCTAATACTGCACTTTTCCAATGGGCTTATCAAATGACACACCAGGAGATTATATTGTGTGCCTGGCTTGGAGGGTCCTATGCCCACGGAGCCTCACTCATTGCTAGCACAGCAGTCTGAGATCAAACTGCAAGGTGGCAGCGTGGCCGGGGGAGGGGTGCCCGCCATTACTCAGGTTTGAGTAGGTAAACAAAGCTGCAGGGAAGCTCGAACTGGGTGGAGCCCACCACAGCTCAAGGAGGCCTGCCTGCCTCTGTAGGCTCCACCTCTGGGGTCAGGGCACAGAAAAACAAAAGACAGCAATAACCCCTGCAGACTTCATTGTCCCTGTCTGACAGCTTTGAAGAGAGCAGTGATTCTCCCAGCATGCAGCTTGAGATCTGAGAATGGCCAGACTGCCTCCTTAAGTTGGTCCCTGACCCCCAAGTAGCCTAACTGAGAGGCAGCCCCCAGTAGGGGTGGACTGACACCTCACAAGGCCGGGTACTCGTCTGAGACAAAACTTCCAGAGGAACGATCAGGCAGCAGCATTTGCGGTTCACCAATATCCGCTGTTCTGCAGCCACCACTGGTGATACCCAGGCAAACAGGGTCTGGAGTGGACCTCCAGTAAACTCCAACAGAACTGCAGCTGAGAGTCCTGACTTTTAGAAGGAAAACTAACAAACATAAAGGACATCCACACCAAAAACCCATCTGTACGTCACCATCATCAAAGACCAAAGGTAGATAAGACCACAAAGATGGGGAAAAGACAGAGCAGAAAAACTGGAAACACTGAAAATCGGAGTGCCTCTCCTCCTCCAAAGGACTGCAGCTCCTCACCAACAACAGAATGAAGCTGGATGGAGAATGACTTTGACAAGTTGAGAGAGGAAGGATTCAGAAGATAAAACTACTCTGAGCTAATGGAGGAAGTTCGAACCAATGGCAAAGAAGTTAAAAACTTTGAAAAATAATTAGATGAATGGATAACTAGAATAACCAATGCAGAGAAGTCCTTAAAGGACCTGAAGGAGCTGAAAACCATGGCATGAGAACTACGTGATGAATGCACAAGCCTCAGTAACTGATGCAATGAACTGGAAGAAAGGGTGTCAGTGATGGAAGACAAAATGAATGAAATGAAGCGTGAAGATAAGTTTAAAGAAAAAAAGAACAAAAAGAAATGAACAAAGCCTCCAAGAAATATGGGACTACGTGAAAGGACCAAATCTACATCTAATTGGTGTACCTCAAAGTGACGGGGAGAATAGAACCAAGTTGGAAAACACTCTGTGGGATATTATCCAGGAGAACTTCCCCAATCTAGCAAGGCAGGCCAATATTCAAATTCAGGAAATACAGAGAACACCAGAAAGGTACTCCTCGAGAAGAGCAACTCCAAGACACATAATTGTCAGATTCACCAAAGTTGAAATGAAGGAAAAAATGTTAAGGGCAGCCAGAGAGAAAGGTCAGGCTACCCACAAAGGGAAGCCCATCAGACTAACAGTGGATCTCTCGGCAGAAACTCTACAAGCCAGAAGAGAGTGGGGGAAAATATTCAACATTCTTAAAAACAAGAATTTTCAACCCAGAATTTCTTATCCAGCCAAACTAAGCTTCATAAGTTAAGGAGAAATAAAATCCTTTACAGAAAAGCACATGCTGAGGGATTTTGTCACCACCAGGCCTGCCCTAAAAGAGCTCCTGAAGGAAGCACTAAACATGGAAAGGAAAAACCAGTACCAGCCACTGCAAAAACATGCCAAATTGTAAAGACCATCAAGGCTGGGAAGAAAGTGCATCAACTAACGAGCAAAATAACCAGCTAACATCATAATGACACGATCAAATCCACACATAACAATACTAACCTTAAATGTAAATGGGCTAAATGCTCCAATTAAAAGACACAGACTGGCAAATTGGATAAAGAGTCAAGACCCATCAGTGTGCTGAATTCAGGAAACCCATCTCATGTGCAGAGACACAAATAGGCTCAAAATAAAGGGATGGAGGAAGGATCTACCAAGCAAATGGAAAAGAAGAAAAGGCAGGGGTTACAATCCTAGTCTCTAATAAAACAGACTTTAAACCAACAAAGATCAAAAGAGACAAAGAAGACCATTGCATAATGGTAAAGGGATCAATTCAACAAGAAGAACTAACTACCCTAAATATATATGCACCCAATACAGGAGCACCCAGATTCATAAAGCAAGTCCTTAGTGACATACAAAGAAATTTAGACTCCCACACAATAATAATGGGAGACTTTAACACCCCACTGTTTACATTAGAAAGATCAACCAGACAGAAATTTAACAAGGATATCCAGGAATTGAACTCAACTCTGCACCAAGTGGACCTAATAGACATCTACAGAACTCTCCACCCCAAATCAACAGAACATACATTCTTTTCAGTACCACACCTATTCCAAAATTGATCACATAGTTGGAAGTAAAGCACTCCTCAGCAAATGTAAAAGAACAGAAATTAAAACAAACTGTCTCTCAGACCACAGTGCAATCAAACTAGAACTCAGGATTAAGAAACTCACTCAAAACTGCTCAACTACATGGAAACTGAACAACCTGTTCCTGAATGACTACTGGGTACATAATGAAATGAAGGCAGAAATAAAGATGTTCTTTGAAACCAATGAGAACAGAGACACAACATACCAGAATCTCTGGGACACATTCAAAGCAGTGTGTGAGGGAAATTTATAGAACTAAATGCCCACAAGACAAAGCAGGAAAGATCTAAAATGGACACCCTAACATCACAAATAAAAGAACTAGAGAAGCAAGAGCAAACAAATTCAAATGCTAGCAGAAGGCAAGAAATAACTAAGATCAGAGCAGAACTGAAGGAAATAGAGACACAAAAAAAATCCTTCAAAAAATCAATGAATCCAGGATCTGGTTTTTTGAAAAGATCAACAAAATTGATAGACTGCTAGCAAGACTAGTAAAGAAGAAAAGAGAGAAGAATCAAATAGATGCAATAAAAAATGACAAAGGGGATATCACCACCAATCCCACGGAAATGCAAACTACCATCAGAGAATACTATAAAGACCTCTACACAAATAAACTAGAAAATCTAGAAGAAATGGATAAATTCCTCAATACCTACACTCTCCCAAGACTACACCAAGAAGAAATTGAATCTCTGAAGAGACCAATAACAGGTTCCGAAATTGAGGTAATAATTAATAGCTTACCAACCAAAAAAAGTCCAGGACCAGATGGACTCACAGCCAAATTCTACCAGAGATACAAGGAGGAGCTGGTACCATTCCTTCTGAAATTATTCCAATCAATAGAAAAAGAGGGAATCCTTCCTAACTCATTTTATGAGGCCAGTATCATCCTGATACCAAAGCCTGGCAGAGACAACAAAAAAAGAGAATTTTAGACCAATATCCTTGATGAACACTGATGCAAAAATCCTCAATAAAATACTGGCAAACCAAATCCAGCAGCACATCAAAAAGCATATCCACCATGATCAAGTATGCTTCATCCCTGAGATGCAAGGCTGGTTCAACATACGCAAATCAATAAATGTAATCCAGCATATAAACAGAACCAAAGACAAAAACCACATGATTATCTCAATAGATGCAGAAAAGGACTTTGACAAAATTCAACAATGCTTCATGCTAAAAACTCTCAATAAATTAGGTATTGATGGGATGTATCTCAAAATAATAAGAGCTATCTATGACAAACTCATGGCCAATATCATACTGAATGGGCAAAAACTGGAAGCATTTCCTTTGAAAACGTGCACAAGACAGGGATGTCCTCTCTCACCACTCCTATTCAACATAGTGTTGGAAGTTCTGGCCACGGCAATCAGGCAGGAGAAGGAAATAAAGGGCATTCAATTAGGAAAATAGAAAGTCAAATTGTCCCTGTTTGCAGATGGCATGATTGTGTATCTAGAAAACCCCATCATCTCAGCCCAAAATCTCCTTAAGCTGATAAGCAACTTCAGCAAAGTCTCAGGATACAAAATCAATGTGCAAAAATCACAAGCAATCTTATACACCAATAACAGACAGAGAGCCAAATCATGAGTGAACTCCCATTCACAATTGCTTCAAAGAGAATCAAATACCTAGAAATCCAACTTACAAGGGATGTGAAGGACCTCTTCAAAGATAACTACAAACCACTGCTCAATGAAATAAAAGAGGATACAAACAAATGGAAGAATATTCCATGCTCGTAGGTAGGAAGAATCAATATCATGAAAACGGCCATACTGCCCAAGGTAATTTATAGATTCAATGCCATCCCCATCAAGCTACCAATGACTTTCTTCACAGAATTGGAAAAAACTACTTTAAAGCTCATATGGAAGCAAAAAAGAGCCCACATTGCCAAGTCAATCTTAAGCCAAAAGAACAAAGCTGGAGGCATCACACTACCTGACTTCAAACTATACTACAAGGCTACAGTATCCAAAACAGCATGGTACTGGTACCAAAACAGAGATATAGACCAATGGAACAGATCAGAGCCCTCAGAAATAATGCCACATATCCACAACTATCTGATCTTTGACAAACCTGACAAAAACAAGAAATGAGGAAAGGATTCCCTATTTAATAAATGGTGCTGGGAAAACTGGCTAGCCATATGTAGAAAGCTGAAACTGGATCCCTTCCTTACACCTTATACTAAAATTAATTCAAGATGGATTAAAGACTTAAATGTTAGACCTAAAACCATAAAAACCCTAGAAGAAAACCTAGACAATACCATTCAGGACATAGGCAAGGGCAAGGACTTCATGTCTAAAACACCAAAAGCAATGGCAACAAAAGCCAAAATTGACAAATGGGATCTAATTAAATTAAAGAGCTTCTGCACAGCAAAAGAAACTACCATCAGAGTGAACAGGCAACATACAGAATGAGAGAAAATTTTTGCAATCCACTTATCTGACAAAGGGCTAATATCCAGAATCTACAATGAACTCAAACAAATTTACAAGAAAAAAACAAACAACCCCATCAACAAGTGGGTGCAGGACATGAACAGACACTTCTCAAAAGAAGACATTTATGCAGCCAAAAGACACATGACAAAATGCTGGCCATCAGAGAAATGCAAATCAAAACCACAAATGAGATACCATCTCACACCAGTTAGAATGGCGATCATTAGAAAGTCAGGAAACAGCAGGTGCTGGAGGGGATGTGGAGAAATAGGAACAATTTTACACTGTTGGTGGGACTGTAAACTAGTTCAACCATTGTGGAAGTCAGTGTGGTGATTCCTCGGGGATCTAGAACTAGAAATACCATTTGACCCAGCCATCCAATTACTGGGTGTATATACCCAAAGGATTATAAATCATGCTGCTATAAAGACACATGCACACGTACGTTTATTGCGGCACTATTCACAATAGCAAAGACTTGGAACCAACCCAAATGTCCAACAATGATAGACTGGATTAAGAAAATGTGGCCCATATACACCATGGAATACTATGCAGCCATAAAAAATGATGAGTTCACGTCCTTTGTAGGGACATGGATGAAGCTGGAAACCATCATTCTCAGCAAACTATCACGAGGACAAAAAACCAAACACCACATGTTCTCACTCATAGGTGGGAATTGAACAATGAGAACACATGGACACAGGAAGGGGAACATCACACACCAGGGACAGTTGTGAGGTCGGGGGAGGGGGGAGAGATAGCATTAGGTGATATACGTACTGCTAAATGACGAGTTAATGGGTGCAGCACACCATCATAGCACATGTATACATATGTAACACACCTGCACATTGTGCACATGTACCCTAAAACTTAAAGTATAATAATAATAAAGAAAGAAAATATGAAGTAGAAGACATGTAGGATGAATAAGTCTAGAGATTTAATGTATCATGTGAAGACTATAGGTAATAAAAGTGTGCTGTATATGGGATTCATGCTAAATGAATAGATTTTACCTGCTCTCACCACAAAAAAAAATGGGTAACTATGTGAAATAATGGATATGTTAATTTACTTCATTATAGTAATCTTTTTACTATGTGTATCCCATAAGATCATGTTGTATACCCTAAATATATACAACAAAATTTATTTTAAAAAATCAAAAAAGAAAACACAGAGATATACTAAACCAAGTAAAAAGAAGATGGGTAAAGGATTTCAAAAGACATATATTCAAAGAAGATAACAAATGGCCCACAAGCACATAAAAAGATGCTCAACATTATTAGCCATTAGGGAAATGCAAGGAAATACCACTTCACATCCACTAGGATGACTGTAATGAAAAAGACAGACAAAAACAGTTGGCATTGATGTGCAGAATTGGAGTCTCATACATTGCTGGGAGGAATGTAAAATGGTGCAACTGCTTTGGAAAACAGTTTGACAGTTCCTCAAAATATTAAACACAGAATTACCATACGAACCAGCAATTCCACTCCTAAATATATATGCTGGAGAAATGAAAATGTATGTTCACACAAAAACTTATATACTAATGTTCATAGCAACATTATTCATAATAACCAAAGAGTGGAATCAAATCACATATTCATCAATGCATTTATCCGTTGTTGAATGGACAAGTAAAATGTGGTGTATCCTGCAATGGAGTATTATTCAGCAATAAAGAGAATGTAGCGCCAATATGTACTACAACATGGGTGAATCTTGAAAACATGCTAACTTAAAGAAGCTAGACACAAAAGAGTGGCTATTATACATTCAAGTTATAAGAAAAGTCCAGAAAAGGCAGATCTACAGAGATGAAAGTATATTAATGGTGGCAGACGATAGTTGTGATGAGAAACAACTGCTAATGGGTATGGAGTTTCTTTTTGGAGGATGAAAACGTTTTAAAATTGACTGTGAGGAAGTCACTCCTGTGAATGTACTAAAAACCATTAAATTGTACACTATAAGTGGGTAAATTATGTAGTATGTAAATATATCTCAATGAATCTGTTATTTAAAAAAGATAATAGTAGCCTAAATATGAATGATATTCAGGTGTTTAACTATTCTCAAATATCATTTTGAATCTTCTGCTTTAAAATATCTTCACAGAATTTGGAAACTCTTCTCTATGGTTGATTGACTAGTATTCGTTCCCTTATAAATTTTCTGTAATATTGCCAAAGTTATCCATCAACACTGAAAAATATATAGTTAAGTAGGTAGATGAAACCTGCAATTTCACTTTTTAGCCACCTGTATAAACAATGTTTAGGGAATAGGCTAATTTTTTTTAGAGTAAGAAAAGTTGCTAGAGATCTACCAAATGAGAAAATTGCATCTCAAAAATGTTAACTGATTCTCCAAAATTACACAGCCAAATGATGAGGATATTGTATATTTGAAAACCACTGTGATAGCCAGCCTCCACAATCATCTCCAATGATTCTCATCTCTTGGTATTCATATCTTTATGTAGGCCCCTCCTCCCTTCCCTCCCTCTCCCATCACTCACTCCAGGGAAACTAGCTGAAAGCCATATGACATTCATGAAGATAATGAAGAGGCCTGTGTGCCCAGGGCCTGAGGTCTGCTATCAACTCCATGAGTAAGCTTGGAAGTATATCCTCCCCTGCTTGAGCTTTCAGATGAGACTGCAGCCCCAGCTAAAAACCTCAGCCTGATTAAACCTCATGAGAGACCAAGACCCAGAATCATCCAGCTAAGCCACTCCTTAATTCCTGATCCACACCAATAGTGAAATAATAAATTATTTTAAGCTATGGGTTTGCAGAAATCTGTTATGCCATTATGGATAACTAGTACATATTTTTGCTCTTTACACTAAAACCTGCCTCTTACACAACTACTGTTATATTTACAATTGTTTTCTAGGATGCATTGGCTAAAATTCAAACGTTAATCACTCTGTGTGGGTTTGACTTTGATTTACATTTCTCCATTTAAGAAGAAAAAAATTAAACATTATATATTTTTGTCAATTTTTTTCTCCTAACTCTAGGAGTTTCTGTCTGTTTTGCAACATCAAAAGAGCAAGATATAGCATTTTAACGTGAGATAACTTCTCAGGTAAATTTTTACTGCTTTTGCCACAAGGCAATGAAATTCAGTCATATCATTTTCCTTCTGGTGGAGGCTCCAAAGGTTCATTGAAGCAGAGGGATACTGTAGACACTACTTTCAACTCTCTGGTTATGCTAAGTGTAAATGAACCTACTCGTGTTTCTCCATATGCTCTGGTCAAACTTCCCAAGAGTCTTTTAATGTTACTAAAAAACAAAGAGCCAGACAGGAAGCCAGACAGGAGGGAAATCATAGAGAAGAAAAAATTAGCATATTTTATCCTTTACACTGTGGAAGCAAAACATCCAAGAGGAGAGATATATTCAAGGAAAAGTTTATTATTACTGACATTCACGTTCTTCTGGTCTTAAAGACTCTAGCCACTGGCTTTAAGTCTCCTTCTTCCCTTTATTCATGTCATTATTATCAGTGACCTCACTATGAAAATTGAAGCAACCAAAGACATTCTCACTCTCTTCCCACCAAACCCGCCAATCAATCTGCATCTGTATCCACAAAGTCCCATCCATGCTTCTCTCTATGGCCAATACATTAATACCCCATGCCCTCTCAACTACTAAAGAATTTTACTTCCAATAGTTTCTACTCTCTCTTGCATCATCAATTCATCCCTCTTTATATTAATTTCAGAAACATATCAATATGCCTTGATGTCACTATTCTAAAAATGCCCTTACTTAACCCCATTTATCTGATCTTCCTGGGCAAAACCTCCAAGGCGGATGTTTATTTTTGATTTCTCTGTTTTGCCATCTTTCATTTTTGCCTTTATTCGTTCTAGTTGGGTTTTGGTCCCATTATTATACTGATATTATATTTATCAGTATTAATTATCATCTTTCACCATTTACAGTGGAAGCTTCCTTATCTTTATCTTAATCCCACATCCAATCAGGTAGTCATTCTATCCTATGAACATACTCTCCTCCCTTGGTTCCTAGGACACCACTCCTTCTCAGTCTTCCTCCTACCTCTCTGGCAACTTCTGCTCAGTCTCCTTTTCTGACTCTTCCTCTTCTGCCTGCTTTATAAATGTTACTATTTCTCAGGATTCAGTCCAATGCCATCTTTTTCCTCTACTCCAAATTCCTCATCTACTTCCAACACATGAAAATCCATATAAATGCCAAAGAATCCCACATTTATGCCTCTTGATTCATACATCCAACAGTTAATTTGTGGTCTCCAGTTGCCACACATGCATGTTAAACTTAACATGTCTACAACAGAACTCTTCATTCCCAAAACATTACTGTCCCTGGCATCCCCATCCACATAGATACTCAAGCCTGAAACTAGCTGGGGTGTTATCCTTGATTTCTTCTACTCCCATGACCTGTCTCCATATTCAACCCAATAACAAGTCCTCTATAGTCTACCTCCAAAATGTGTCTTGAATTCATGCACTTACTTCTATGTTCAATGTTGCCAACCTACTATTAGCCACCACCATCTTTCATCTATAATACTTAATAGCTCCCTTTTTCAGTTTTGCCTCCCACTAATCCATTCTTCACACAGTAGCCAGAAAAATCATCTAAAAAAAGACTGTTAAGCTCAATAACAAGCTCACAACTCCCTGACTACATCTTCACCCTCACCCAGTGTCATTCCCCCACTTATAAACTATAATCACATGGACTTTTCCTTTACTAGAGCAAATTAAGGTATTTCCTACCTTGCACCTTCATAATTACCATTGTAAATGGTAAATATTTAATAGCTCTCAGAAAATAGGCAACTTGTAGAGTGGAAAGAACGTAATAGTATATTAGTTATCTGTTGCTGCATTAAAAATTTCCCCAATTTCAATCTGCCTGAAGTAAGCCGCCACCCCTGTTCCATCTACCAGGTTCTTTGCCAGATTAGTTTCTTATTATTCCTCCTATTTGAGATTAAATATTACCTAATTTCTTAAACAGATTTCCTCTTCTCTCCTTTTTTAAATACATTTTTTAAACTTTTTAATTGTAAATTTGTCTAGTGCATCTCTACCCTTACTAGAGATACAAACTCTGCAAGCAAATTACCACGTCTTCTTCATTTTTTATTCTAAATCCAGTGTCTAGAACAATACTCTGAATATATTAAGCTCTTATTACTATTTGTTGAATTAATGATAATGTCATATGAGACTCATAGAATCAAAGAATATTCAGTTTGAGAGCTACAAAATCAAAAGACCTTTATAAGCAAACCGGCCTGTCTTTTGTAAAAGGTACATATGTTATCAACGTGCCTTGCATTTAAGAAGCTTATTAAACACTGTGATGCAAAATCTCTCCATTTCCTTCTCCATCAGCTGCGTATTTGTATATGTGTATGTATGAGATTGTATTTCTTTCTTAAAAGTCCTTGTATTAGGCCATTTTTGCGTTGCTCTAAAGGAATACCTGAAATTGGGTAACTTACAAAGAAAAGAGGTTTAATTGGCTCTGGGTTCTGCAGGCTGTACAGGAAGCATGGCACCAACATCTGGCTTCTGGTGAGGCTTCAGGAAGTTTTCAATAACGGTGGAAGGTGACAGGGAGCCAGCATGTCACATGATGAGAGCGGGAGCAAAAGAGAGAGAGAAAGGGAGGGGCCAGACTCTTTGAAACAACCAGATATCACGTGAAGTCAGAGTGAGAATTCACTTATCACCAAGGTGATGGCCCTAAGCCATTCATAAGAGATCACCCTCCATGATCCAAACACTTCCAACATTGGGAATTACATTTAAATATGGGATTTGGAGGAGACAAACATCCTAACGATATCCTTCTCTACTCTTCTCATTCCTGTTTCTAGTATCTTCAGATACAGATTGAACAGGATCTGTCCAAAAAAAAAAAAAAAGATGCTCTTGATTCCTCTTAGAGTAGTTGACCTAAAAAGGCCACCTATCAGAAGCCTAAAAGTGTCAGTATTTCCCTAGATACAAATGCCTGTCTCATTCTTTAACCACTAAACTAAATGATAAATCAAAGACACTCTAAGGGGAAAAAAAACTATCAGAAGTCTTACTTGTAAAGCAGAATTGAAGTTGAAAGAAAGTAGGGATGAGACACACTATATGGGCATCCGCAGCCACAGGGGAATCCTGCCAAAAAGTCAGAAATAGCTTCTCAAGGGTAACCATTTTCAATCTATTTTATTTCTTTTTATTACTCTTCCCAGGTAACACAAAACTTCAACTGATAGGAAACCTTTTAACAAATGCAGCTTGTAACACGGTCTATTTATATTCTTATTTTATTTGATTCAATTATTCTCCTATAATTCTCCTGGTATTAAAAGTCCTTTTGATGGCTGTTCTGTTTTTGATTTCCAAAGTCATTAACCTCCATTCCCTACGCAAGGTAAGGGAAAGCTCTGTGAATGACAGCCTTGTTTACAGGGAGCAGGAAAGGACTTGGCAGCTGTTCCAAAGTGTCAAATGAAATAGCCTGAAGAATGCTATTAAAAAGTGTCACCAAACGGGGAAACGACGTCACACTAATTAGATTGCCTCTTCGTTGTCCACTAATAGAATTCTCTGACACATAACTGTTGAGAGAGAAAGATTTGTTAGGAGGGAGGAATAGCGGGTAATCTTTTTTATACCTTTCATATGACTTTCACAGTCTTCAAAATCTCAAAACATAGAGATGGGCTTAAAATGCAAATAATGAGAAGAAACAACAACAACAAAGACTATATTAATTTGAATTATAACAGTGCCCTTTTGAGAATGAAGAATTTTATTTTTAATATCTCAGAGTCACTCTTATACACCAAACTTTTAGCTAAAATTAATGCTTTTCATCCATATCGAAAGGTATATCTGAGAGTATGCCTAAAATGTTCACTTGAACTGTCATTATTTTAGAAGCATATGATCAGGTAATAATCAGCCAAAGCCCTCTAAAACATTTATTTTTGGTATTCAATTTTCTATTCCCTTGTTATATTTAGTCCCTTGGTGGTTCCAATTTGTTCATTTAATAGGCATTTCTTAAATGACTACTCTGTGCAGGATCAATTCCAGTCAGTTAAAATCGAATCAGTTTTTTTTTTTTTTTTTTTTTTTTTTTTTTTTTTTAGGAGAGTCTTGCCCAGGCTGGAGTGAAGCGGTGCCATCTTGGCTCACTGCAACTTCTGCCTCCTGAGTTCAAGCAATTCTCCTGCCTCAGCCTCCCGAGAAGCTGGGATTACAGGTGTACACCACCAGGCCTCATTAATTTTTGTATTTTCAGTAGGATGGGGTTTCACCATGTTGGCCAGACAGGTCTCCAACTCCTGACCTCAGGTGGTCTCCAACTCCTGACCTCAGGTGATCTCCCCGCCTTGGCCTCCCAAAGTGCTGGGATTACAGACATGAGCCACTGTGCCCGGCCAAAATCTAATCAGTTTCTAAGTTGCACTAATCACATCTAGGAAACATCAAATGCTTTACAGTCTAGTGAGAAAGAAAGAAAAGTGGATGATCCCTGCTATAGCCAGTCATAAGAACATCCATGAGGCTCTATTCTCCTGTGCTTTCTCTGGGCATAACCCCTTCACCTAAATTCTAATCTTCTTCTTCAGTTAGATTCACCATCTTCACCTCAAAGTCAGGATGCTCAAGACAGATTTTTCATTCTTCCTAAGTCCTGCCTGGTTCTCATCCCCAGGTTTCTAATTGTCAAAATAATAACCCAAAATTAGCACTTGGTATGTGCAATGCACTGCGTTATGTGCATTACATGGGTTATCTGATTTAACCTTCAAATTATTCCTATGAACCAGATAATATTACTAGTTCACTTGAAAAGTAAGGAAACCAAGATTTAGAAAGGTTAAGTAACATGTTCAAATAACTAGGAAGTGGTTAACTTGCAGACAGATTTTGAAAAATCAGGCATTAGAGCTTCACTGTCCAATAGCCACATACAGCTAATGAGCATTTAAAATACAGCTAATGCAACTGGGAAAATTTTTTAATTTCATTAAATTAATTTAAATTTAATTTTAAAAACCAACAGTTAAGTTGGTTATTGAGTATGTGAATGTACTTTTCAACCATAAATTTATGAAATTTATGAAATCTAAATACAGATCAAGTATTTCTGATGAAAATTTAGCTTCCAAACTAATACATGCTATAAGTGTAAAATTAGACTTTGAAGACTTGGTATTAAAAACAAGACTGTAAAATATCTCATTGGTAATTTTTTATATTGACTACATATGGAAATATTTTAGATATATTGGGTTCAATAAAAACATATTAGTACAATGTCATCTATTTCTTTTGCATAAGAAAATTTAAAAGTGCAGATATGGCTCACATTATATTTCTTTTTTACTGCATAGAAACTACCTTTTTTTAATAATTTCAACTTTTGTTTCAGATTCAAGGAGTACATGTGCAGGTTTGTTACGTGGGTATATTGCATGATGCTGAGGTTTGGGTATGACTGAACCCATCACCCAGGTACTGAACATAGTACCCAATAGTTTTTCAGCCCTTTCCCCACTCCCTTCATCCTCCCTCTAGTAGTCCCCAGTGACTATTGTTCTCATCTTTATGTCATATGTACCCAAAGTTTAACTTCCACCTATAAGTGAGAACATGCAGCATTTGGTTTTCTGTTCCTGCATTAATTTGCTTAAGATGATGGCCTCCAGCTGCATCTATATTGCTGCAAAGAACATGATTTCATTATTTTTGTGGCTGCATGGTATTCTGTGTTGTATATGTACCACAGTTTCTTTACCCAATCCACTGCTGATGGGCACCTAGATTGATTCCATGACTTTGCTATTGTTAATGGTACTGTGATGAACATACGAGTGCATGTGTCTTTTTTTGGTAAAATGATTTCTTTTCCTTAGGGTATATACGCAGTGATGGGATTGCTAAGTCAAATGGTAGTTCTGTTTGAAGTTCATTAAGACATCTCCAAACTGCTGTCCACAGTGGCTGAACTAATTTACATTCCCACTGTTTATAAGCATACTCTTTTCTCCACAGCCTTGCCAGCATCTGTTATTTTTTGTCTTTTTAATAACTGGCACAAGTCATAGTTCTGTTGGGCTCCACTTGTCCAGAGTCTATCCTCTTATCTTACACTATTCCAACTCTCAGGAAGCTTTCAATTCAGTGCTCATGTGGTAACAAGGATCTATTATTCAAACTGGCTAAATTCAGGCTCCCTGCTTTTCCCTCTCACCCCCCACTGTCTGGCAGATATCTTGAAACATCTTATCCTCTTCACTCTCCAGCCTTCTCTCAATGATTTATTAGCTCAAGTTCCACCAATACAGTATGACTTTTCTTGATATCTGTTCCAAAATACATTTTCGTTCTCTCACTGCAACATCAAAATGTGGAAATTGTCAAACTGGACAATACAATCTAGTATTCTGCTGTATCAAATGCTTCCAAGTGACATGATGTGGTTGTGTGTGTGGGCACATGTGTGTATGTCTGTGTGCACACACATGCATGTGCACATAATATATTCATATTTATATTCCAGCTTCTTTTTTCTATCTCCTTGTAGCTTTGCCATTCCTAAATTCACTCAAATCACTATGAATTCATTTACAACGGCCCCCATTTATTAAGCTCCACACACCTTCCAAAATTATGTCCTTCCTTTGCTTAAATGCAGGAACAAGTTTTAAAGAATGACACACTGTTCCTTCACAGTTTGATGAGATCATGTATTACCTTATACACTGCTTAATTTATAAATTTTAGTCATGTCTTTCTTTAGCCTTAACCTCCTAGATTGAAGTTTCCCAGTTGTCCTTTATATGATGGCTATTATTACCAAAGCCAGAAACACATCTTTGGTCATTGATCTACCATTTCTCTCTTAAGATGCATTAGAATTGACTACACTCTTCCAGATTTCAGGTGAAAATACTATAATAGGGTTATAGAATATATTGTTTAGATTTTCATTTCCTTGATAAAAATGCCAACTATTTTAAATTTTAGCCTTAGGTTGATCTGATGTCATCAGAAAACATTCTATAACAATTCTTTGTCTTTAGGTTGTAACCACAAATTTTTGTTTTCATACAGAGAAGGTGTGTAACTATTTTATAATTCTATTTTGGTATTCAAATTCATTTGCCACTCTTCTACATATTAACTCTCGGTACTTATTTCTGTCTTTCCATGTCTTCTTGGTAAACATGATAATAAATCTAAAATATATCCATATAAAATAATAATATCTAATTTGTGGTGTTTAAAATACGATAGACTTAAAAATATTGGGCAAAAATTAGATATACGATGCAAACATATGATTAGAATTCAAGTGTTCTAAGGTCTTTCCAAAGTTCAGAAGGAGGTTAAGATATTTATTAACTTTAGGCTTTAGGTATATTTCATAATAATTTCAAAAGTAATCACAAAAAGAATGGAAGTAGAGTGTGTGACTTCCAAACCAGATGTTGGCAGCGGGGGCGGGAGGCGAAAGTTTTTGACTGTAATAAATTCAGAAGATAGAAAATCAGAATGGAAGAAAAAGGGGATATAGGAAAAGCAGTACACAGAGAAAATGCTAAGTAAACTAGTAGAAGTAAATCCAAAATATTAGAAATAACAATAAAAGTAAATGGACTAAACATACCAGCAAAGAGATAAACATTTCAAATTAGAGAATTTTTTTTAAATCCAGGTTTATGCTACCTATAAAAGACAAGTAAACAAAAAGACAAGTTTAAAATATAAAGAACAGAAAAAGTTAGAAAGTTAAAGCATAGAAAAACTACTAAGGCAAAACTAATCAAATGAAAGCCAGTATAATTAATATTGGAAGGAAGGTTTCATGGCTGGTCAAAGGTGCTGGATTAATATCAGAAAGAAAAAAGAAGACTTTAATAGTTCTCAGACCTGTTTACACATTATAATAATTTTGGAAAAAGTTTTTAAGTTACCAGTGTTTTACCCTCACCAATTAACTTCTAAAAGTGAGGCCTGGGCATGGATGTTTCTAAAAGTTCCCTAGGTACTTATGATACAGAATGAGGATTAATAACTTCCACTTTAAACAAAAAGAATTTTTAGAGATAAAAATATTCATCATATACTAATTTGTTAAATATACTAAATTTGTTAAAAAGAAAACTACAGAACTATTAGACTAAGACATGGGTAAATTCCTCTATTACCTGGGAGAGGGAGGAATGTTTCAAACTATCATTCAACATCCAGAAGCAATAAAATAAAATGAGATTGTATTAAAAAGACACAGGTTTCTGCCTATGAAGTGTTAGCTGCCACAGGAATTGCCACCTCACCATAGCCAAGAAAACCAGATAAAGTATATAAAACAAAAGTTTTCAGATTCTGGGCAACAGAATGTGATCCCTGAGAAAAGGGAAACAAGATTATCAGTGAACTCTAAGTTAATGCCTTCAAACAGTTTTCAGATCACAGTCAAGGAGGGGGCTCCAAATTAAGGAATAGGGATTAAAGTTTGGGAAGGTGGAGACTCCTATAACTGTCATATTTAAAAACAAAGAAGAGACAACTTGACTCAGCTCAGGCTGTCATAACAAAATACCATGGCTGGGTGGCTTAGGAAGCAGGGGTTTGTTTTCTCAAAGTTCTAGAGGCTGGAAGTCTCAGATCAGGATGCCAGGTTCTGATGAGGACTCTCTTCCTGGTTGGCAGATCACTGCCTTCTTGCTGTACCCTAACATGGCAGAGAGAGGAGTGGGGGAAGGAGAAGGGGAGGGTGAGGGAGCCATACTTCAGAACACCACCCCATGACCTCATCTAGACCAATTGTCTCCCAAAGGCCCCATCTCCAAATACCATTACATTAGGGATTAGGGCTTCAATACATAAATTTTATGGTATATAATTCATTGCATAGCAGAACTTCACAGAGAGCTCTGGAGTTCTGCATAGGGATCTTCTTGAGTCTTTGGCTGAATACTGACCTACCCATGAATGATAAGAAACTACCAAAGACTGAGGAAAGCTATAAAACAGCTTCTCATAGCTCACACAGAAGTGAAAATAGCTTGTGTTTCCACAAGCCAGAATGAAGAGACCTCCTAACATGGGTCATTGCATACAGTCCACAGAAGGGTCCTGCCTTAATATTGGAGCTAAATTAATCCCAGGATAAAGACTTCCCTGGGAACACCTAACAAAGCTTAAAATTAAGTCTTAAAAGTTTCAAATTTACCTGCCAGTTATGAAACTACACACCAGAATAAAATCCAATACTCTTTAAAGGAATACAAATAATTTCAGCAAACCATAAAACTCACAATGTCAGAAATAATTTTAGAATTATTAGGCATGCAAATCATGAATGAACCCCCATTCACAATTGCCCCAAAAAGCATAAAATACCTAGGAATATCAGTAACAAGAGAAGTGGAGGATCTCTACAGGAAAATTACAAAACACTGCTCAAATAAATCAGAGATGACACAAATAAATAGAAAAACATGCTGTGCTCATGGATAGGAAGAATCAGTATTGTTAAAATGACCATACTGCCACTAGCAATTTATAGATTTAATGCCATTGACACTAAACTACCATTGACATTCTTCACAGAACTAGAAAAAAAACTATTTTAAAATTCATATGGAACCAAAAAAAAGAGCCCAAAAGCCAAGGTAATCCTAAACAAAAAGGACAAATCTGGAGGCATCATGTTACCTGACTTCAAACTATACTACAGGGCTACAGTAACCTAACCAAAACAGCATGGTACTGGTACAAGAATAGACACATCAACCAATGGAACAGAACAGAGAACCCAGAAATAAGACCACACACCTACAACCATCTGATCTTCAACAAAGCCAACAAAAAGAAGCAATGGGGCAATGGTTCCCTATTTAATAAATGCAGGAGAACTGGCTAGCCGTATACAGAGTATTGAAACTGGACCCCTTTCCTACACCATATACATAAATCAACTCAAGATAGAGTAAAGACTTAAATGTAAAGAATAACACTATAAAAACCCTGGAAGACAACCTAGGCAGTACCATCCTGAACATAAGAATGGGCAAAGAGTTCATGACAAAGATGTCAAAAGCAACTGCAACAAAAGCAAAAATTGACAAATGGGATCTAATTAAAGAGCTTCTGCACAGCAAAAGAAACTATCAACAGAGTAAACAGACAATCTACAGAATGGGAGAAAATGTTTGCAAACTATGCATCTGACAAAGGCCTAATATCCAGCATCTATAAGGAATTTAAACAAATTTACAAGAAAGAAACAACCCCATTAAAAAGTGGGCAAAGAACATGAACAGACACTTTTCTAAAGAAGATATACACACGGCCAGCAATCATATTTTCAAAAGCTCAGTATCACTGATCTTTAGAGAAATACAAATCAAAACCACAATGAGATACCATCTCACACAAGTCAGAAAGGCTGTTATTAAAAAGTCAAAAAATAATAGATGTTGGTGAGGTTGTAGAGAAAAAGAAACACTTTTACACTGTTTTGGGGAGTATAAATTAGTTCAACCATTGTGGAAGACAGTGTGATGATTCCTCAGAGACCTAGAGACAGAAATACAATTCAACCCATCAATGTCTTACTGGCTATATACCCAAAGGACTATAAATTCTTCTATTATAAAGATAAATGCATACATATGTTCACTGTAGCACTATTCACAGTAGCAAAGACATGGAATCAACCTAAATGTCCATCAGTGATAGACTGGTTAAAGAAAATGTGGTACATATATACCATGGGATACTCTGCAGCCATAAAAAGGAAAAAGATCATGTCTTTTGCAGGGACATGGATGGAGCTGAAGGCCATCATCCTTAGCAAACTAACCTAGGAAGAGAAAACCAAATACCACATGTTCTGACTTATAAGTGGGAGCTAAATGATGAGAACACATGGACACATAAAGAGGAACAACACACATTGGGGCCTACCAGATGGCAGAAGTTTGGAGGAGGAAGAGAGTCAGGAAAAATAACTAATGGATACTAGGCTTAATACTTGGCTGATGAATATAAAACAAACCCCCTTGATATACATTTACCTATGTAACAAACCTGCACATATTGCACATGTATCCCTGAATTTAAATAAAACTCATAAAAAATAACAGATATAAATTTTTAAGATACAAAAAATTATCAGGCATGAAAAGCAGAAAAACATGATCCATAATCAGCAGAAAATGTAGTCAATAAAACTAGACTGAGAAATAGCAAAAATGATTAAAAAAGAAGACAAGGACTTTTAAACTGCTAAGATAAATTGTATGAATATGCTTAAGGATGTAAATAAATACATGAATAAACTGAGAAGAGAAAATGGAAGATATCTTTAAAAGCTCAAATGGAATTTACAGAGATTAAAGACACAATCTTAAATGAAAAATGCACTGGGTTGGATTAATAGCATATAGAACACAGCAGAAGGCCAGGCACAGTTGTTCACGCCTGTAATCCCAGCATTTTGGGAGACCAAGATGGGTGGATTGCCTGAGCTCAGGAGTTCAAGGCCAGCCTGATCAACACAGTGAAAGCCCATCTCTACTAAAATACAAAAAAAAATTAGCCAGGCGTGGCAGCATGCGCCTGTAGTCCCAGCTACTTGGGAGGCTGAGGCAGGAGAATTGCTTGAACCTGGGAGGCGGAGGTTGCAGTGAGCTGAGATCATGTCACTGCACTCCAGCCTGGGAGACAGGGCAAGACTCTATCTCAAAAAAAAAAAATAAGAAAAAATAAAAAATAAACATATCCTCATTGAGCTTTGGGGTAATATCAAATAGTTTAATATACCTGTGCTGTGGTTTGAATGTGTCCTTCAACATTTGTGTGTTGAAAACCTAATCCCCAATGCAACAGTATTGAGAGGAGGAAACTAAGATGTGATTAGGTCATGAGGGCTCTGTCCTCATGAACTTATTAAAGCCATTATCTCAGGAGTAGGTTAGTTATTATGACAGTGAATTCTTGATAAAATAATGTTTGGCCCCCTTCCTCTCTCACATGCATGCACTCTCTTGTCATGTGATGCTTTCCACCACATTATGATACAGCAAGAATGTCCTTACCAGATGCAGCCCTTCAATTTTGGACTTCCCAGCCTCTGGATCCATGAGAAAAAAAAAAATATGTTCTTTGTAAATTACCCAGTCTGTAGTATTCTGTTACAACAACACAAAATGGACTAAGACAGCATATAATTAGAGTCCTATAGAAGAAGCAGACAGGAAATTAAAATATTTGAAGAAATAGTGACCAAAAATGTGATGAAAATTATAAAACAACAGATCTGAGGTGCTCAACAAATTCCAGGAACACACAAACAAAACAAAACCAAGGTACATCAAAATCAAATTGCTGAAAATAAGTAATAAAGGGAAAATATTAAATGAGGTTAGAAGGAAAAAAACCCATATTAATTATAAAAGAACAAAGATAATAACAGCTTATTCCTATGCCGAAATCATGAAGACCAGAAGAAAATGGGATGATATTTTTAAGGTGATGAAATAGAAAACTTGTCAACCTAGATTATATCCAAAGCAACTATCCTCTAAGAGTAAAAGAAAACTAAAGTCTTGTTCATGTCAACAAAAGTTGAGAGAATATCAGCAGCACAGCTGCACCTAAATAACCAAGGTAATGGACTACAGACCTTCAAGTAAAACTATGTAGGCTTAACACTAGATTCCTGCTGGGAATTACTTTCATGGACTATTGCTGTGTTGTCATATACTGCAACTCAAGGGTTCCCAGCCTGGCTACACATTATAACTGAGGAACTTTAAAAAAATAGATTATTCAGGTTCCACTCCAAGGCAATTAATTAAGACATCACAATGAGTGGAGTCTGGGCTCCTCTGGCAATTCTAATGTTCAGGTAGGGTTGAAACTGGCTGTCTAATCTCACCCTTCAAATCCCTACCCCATTTCCAATCTCCAACTGGCCCTCCTGAAAGTATCTGACACAGAGGTCAGCCATGTTTTCTACCAGTTAATTTAAAAGAAATATAATGAACAGTGAAAGCCACAAAAGGAATATAAAGTGAATAAATTCCCACTCCCTGCCATCAAAATCCAATTGATAGATTTTTACTTTACCCTCTGGGCTGAGGAAATACTCTGGCCTCTCCTTAGGGCAGCATTTCACATCTTTCATAGCCCAGAGGCAAGTCAATCTTGTGCATGGTTCCATGTCTTGAAAGGAGAGAAAAGGTGGCTTCTTTTATCTCTGTGTTGCCATCCTGACTGCTCCTTACTGTGTTCAGCTTTTGCCTTTTTTTCCTGTAGTCTTTTTCTCTGCAGGATTGACAAACTCCTGAAGTCTCTATGGTCAGTCTTTATGGGTTTCTCTTTCTTGCTCCACTCTATGACAAATTCTGAATCACTGTCATGTTAGAAGGGAGAAATACATCTGTTACTTAGAATCTGGTTTAAACAGAACAGAAATGGCTCCTTAAGCTCAGGTTTGATAATATTTCTTTTAATGGATTCCCTCATAAAATCTGCATGAAAGCAGTTTCTTTCAAACAACAAATGAATTTATAGTGATCATTTCTATGTGGCTATTCAGTATAAATAAGCTAGCCTTTAAGCTGAGGCATCACTGAAATATAGCAGACACTTGTCTCTGTAGAAACAAAACAGAGTGCTGTGCCACATACATTGACCTTTCCAAATAATCTTGCTTTCTGAACCAAAGGAAATGTTAATTTCCTCAAGAGCAAGAGCTGATGCATTTGTCAAAGATAAATGAAAAAGGACACAATAGCAACACACTTCAAATGTGCTCTGGATACCGAAAGATAGCAAACATCAGTGACCTCAAGAACTAAAGTGGGATTTGGAGGTCCCCAAGTATAATGTATTCACTGGCACTTTTTAGTTCAAATGGACAGGCAATGGAGCAGAATTAATGCCCTGTGGAACTCATGGCTGTGCATCAAAATCCACCAAGTTACCAAGACCTATGGGCCTTCCAAACAACCCAGGCAAAGGTGGCACTCTTTACAGTGTGTCTGACTAGCAGAATACAGATTCGATTTTCTGACCCTTGAGAAAAACACAGAGCAGTCACTTTGAGCTAAGACCCCAAATTACAGCTGTGGTTCAACAGCTGTAATTGAAGAGCCAGAGAAAGAAAAGAACAGCCGATTGAATATAGAAATAAATAATTTGTCATCTCAAAATGCTTCCAAAGTGCAATAAAAGACTGTTTCTAATGTAACTGAAATGATTCTGGAGATGAAATGATGTCAGCATTTGGTGAAGGCATATTAGGAAAACACAGTTGCCTGAGTGGAAAACTCACAAAGCCCTTAGCTGGGCCTAATGATGTATGGAAAAAAGGAACATTATGGGGTCACCCACTTCATGCCACCACAAATTAACATGATGGAACACATCAAAGACACCAAGCAGACTCCTTGGCTGTATGCATCAGCGAGGGCCCCTCTGACTTCAACTGGAAGAACTTATGATAATAAAAGTAAAAATGAAAAGAAGGGCTTTGCCAAACTTCCAACAAGAATCCTGTTTGAGGCTACCGGTGGGTGGACAGGAGAGCGGGAGGTGAGGGAGAAGGCATGGTGCAGGGCACACAATTATGCCTTTGGAAATGGAAGGGAAAACATGGACCCTACATTTCTTTAAGATAATACGGTTTAGTTCAACAAACATTAACTGAACATTATTAAATGATAGGCAGACATTATACTTAGCACTGAGAATTCTAGAAAATCACAACACTTACTGTCATGAAGTTACTGCCTGGTGGAGAATAAATTATGTACTACAATCTGTTTATGCTAAAAACACATATAAAGCCGAAAATGATTTGTTCTATCTGAAAAATCAAAAAGAATCCACACATGCAGATATGGTAAGCATGGGTTTGAAGTGTGAATATGAATTCACTATATGGTAAGCATGGGTTTGAAGTGTGAATATGAATTCACTATATGGTAAGCATGGGTTAGAAGTGTGAATATGAATTCACTATGCTGAAGGGTCAGGAAAGGACATACCGACCTGGCCCTAAGAATGAAGTATTACAATTGGAGTGAATATCCAGAACCACTATTGCCAAGGAACTATTTTCTTTTTCTCCAATTCCTCTCTTCACATTTTCTTTTTTTTTTTAAGGGTGTAATCCCTAGAATTTGTTTTTTGTTTTTTTTTAATTATACTTTAAGTTTTAGGGTACATGTGCACAACGTGGAGGTTTGTTACATATATATACATGTGTCATGTTGCTGTGCTGCGCCCATTAACTCGTCATTTAACATTAGGTATATCTGCAAATGCTATCCCTCCCCCCTCCCCCAACCCCACAACGGGCCCCGGTGTGTGATGTTCCCCTTCCTGTGTCCATGTGTTCTGATTGTTCATTTCCCACCTATGAGTGAGAACATGTGGTGTTTGGTTTTTTGTACTTGCGATAGTTTGCTGAGAATGATGGTTTCCAGCTTCAACCATGTCCCTACAAAGGACGTGAACTCATCATTTTTTATGGCTGCATAGTATTCCATGGTGTATATGGGCCACATTTTCTTAATCCAGTCTATTGTTGTTGGACATTTCGGTTGGTTCCAAGTCTTTGCTATTGTGAATAGTGCTACAATAAACGTACGTGTGCATGTGTCTTTATAGCTTCATGATTTATAATCCTTTGGGTATATACACCCAGTAATTGGATGGCTGGGTCAAATGGTATTTCTAGTTCTAGATCCCTGAGGAATTGCCACACCGACTTCCACAATGGTTGAACTAGTTTACAGTCCCACCAGCAGTGTAAAAGTGTTCCAATTTCTCCACATCCTCTCCAGCACCTGTTGTTTCCTGACTTTCTAATGATCGCCATTCTAACTGGTGTGAGATGGTATCTCATTTGTGGTTTGATTTGCATTTCTCTGATGGCCAGCATTTTCTCATGTGTCTTTTGGCTGCATAAATGTCTTCTTTTGAGAAGTGTCTGTTCATATCCTTCGCCCACTTGTTGATGGGGTTGTTTGTTTTTTTCTTGTAAATTTGTTTGAGTTCGTTGTAGATTCTGGATATTAGCCCTTTGTCAGATAAGAGGATTGCAAAAATTTTCTCCCATTCTGTAGGTTGCCTGTTCACTCTTATGGTAGTTTCTTTTGCTGTGCAGAAGCTCTTTAGTTTAATTAGATCCCATTTTTCAATTTTGACTTTTGTTGCCATTGCTTTTGGTGTTTTAGACATGAAGTCCTTGCCCTTGCCTATGTCCTGAATGGCATTGCCTAGGTTTTCTTCTAGGGTTTTTATGGTTTTAGGTCTAACATTCAAATCTTTAATCCATCTTGAATTAATTTTAGTATAAGGTGTAAGGAAGGGATCCAGTTTCAGCTTTCTACATATGGCTAGCCAGTTTTCCCAGCACCATTTATTAAATAGGGAATCTTTCCCCGTTTCTTGTTTTTCTCAGGTTTGTCAAAGATCAGATAGTTGTAGATATGTGGCATTATTTCTGAGGGCTCTGTTCTGTTCCATTGGTCTATATCTCTGTTTTGGTACCAGTACCATGCTGTTTTGGTTACTGTAGCCTTATAGTATAGTTTGAAGTCAGGTAGCGTGATGCCTCCAGCTTTGTTCTTTTGGCTTAGGATTGACTTGGCAATGTGGGCTCTTTTTTGCTTCCATATGAGCTTTAAAGTAGTTTTTTCCAATTCTGTGAAGAAAGTCATTGGTAGCTTGATGGGGATGGCATTGAATCTATAAATTACCTTGGGCAGTATGACCATTTTCATGATATTGATTCTTCCTACCCACGAGCATGGAGTGTTCTTCCATTTATTTGTATCCTCTTTTATTTCATTGAGCAGTGGTTTGTAGTTATCTTTGAAGAGCTCCTTCACATCCCTTGTAAGTTGGATTCTTAGGTATTTTATTCTCTTTGAAGCAATTGTGAATGGGAGTTCACTCATGGTTTGGCTCTCTGTTTGTCTGCTATTGACGTATAAAAATGCTTGTGATTTTTACACATTGATTTTGTATCCTGAGACTTTGCTGAAGTTGCTTATCAGCTTAAGGAGATTTTGGGCTTAGATGATGGGGTTTTCTAGATATACAATCATGTCATCTGCAAACAGGGACAATTTGACTTCCTATTTTCCTAATTGAATACACTTTATTTCCTTCTCCTGTCTAATTGCCCTGGCCAGATCTTCCAACACTATGTTGAATAGGAGTGGTGAGGGAGGGCATCCCTGTCTTGTGCACGTTTTCAAAGGGAATGCTTCCAGTTTTTGCCCATTCAGTATGATATTGGCCATGAGTTTGTCATAGATAGCTCTTATTATTTTGAGATACATCTCATCAATACCTAATTTATTGAGAGTTTTTAACATGAAGCATTGTTGAATTTTGTCAAAGGCCTTTTCTGCATCTATTGAGATAATCATGTGGTTTTTGTCTTTGGTTCTGTTTATATGCTGGATTACATTTATTGATTTGCGTATGTTATACCAGCCTTGCATCCCAGGGATGAAGCATACTTGATCATGGTGGATAAGCTTTTTGATGTGCTGCTGGATTTGGTTTGCCAGTATTTTATTGAGGATTTTTGCATCGATGTTCATCAGGGATATTGGTCTAAAATTCTCTTTTTTTGTTGTGTCTCTGCCAGGCTTTGGTATCAGGATGATACTGGCCTCATAAAATGAGTTAGGGAGGATTCCCTCTTTTTCTATTGATTGGGATAGTTTCAGAAGGAATAGTACCAGCTCCTCCTTGTATCTCTGGTAGAATTCAGCTGTGAATCCGTCTTGCCCTGGACTTTTTTTGGTTGGTAAGCTATTAATTATTGCCTCAATTTCAGAACCTGTTATTGGTGTATTCAGAGATTCAACTTCTTCCTGGTTTAGTCTTTGGAGAGTGTATGTGTCAAGTAATTTATCCATTTCTTCCAGATTTTCTAGTTTATTTGCATAGAGGTGTTTATAGTATTCTCTGATGGTAGTTTGTATTTCTGTGGGATTGGTGGTGATATCACCTTTATCATTTTTTATTGCATCTATTTGATTCTTCTCTCTTATCTTCTTTATTAGTCTTGCTAGTGGTCTATCAATTCTGTTGATCTTTTCAAAAAACCAGCTCCTGGATTCATTGATTTTTTGAAGGGATTTTTGTGTCTCTATTTCCTTCAGTTCTGCTCTGATCTTAGTTATTTCTTGTCTTCTGCTAGTGTTTGAAGGTGTTTGCTCTTGCTTCTCTAGTTCTTTTAATTGTGATGTTAGGGTGCCCATTTTAGATCTTTTCTGCTTTGTCTTGTGGGCATTTAGTGCTATAAATTTCCCTCTACACACTGCTTTGAATGTGTCCCAGAGATTCTAGCATGTTGTGTCTTTGTTCTCATTGGTTTCAAAGATCATCTTTATATCTGCCTTTATTTTGTTATGTACCCCGTAGTCATTCAGGAGCAGGTTGTTCAGTTTCTATGTCGTTGAGTGGTTTTGAGTGAGTTTCTTAATCCTGAGTTCTAGTTTGATTGTACTATCGTCTGAGAGACAGTTTGTTATAATTTCTGTTCTTTTACATTTGCTGAGGAGTGCTTTACTTCCAACTATGTGGTCAATTTTGGAATAGGTGAGGTGTGGTGCTGAAAAGAATGTATATTCTATTGATTTGGGGTGGAGAGTTCTGTAGAAGTCTATTAGGCCCACTTGGTGCAGAGCTGAGTTCAATTCCTGGATATCCTTGTTAACTTTCTGTCTCGTTGTTCTGTCTAATGTTGACAGTGGGGTGTTAAAGTCTCCCATTATTATTTTGTGGGAGTCTAATTCTCTTTATTGGTCTCTAAGGACTTGCTTTATGAATCTGGGTGCTCCTGTATTGGGTGCATATATATTTAGGATAGTTAGTTCTTCTTGTTGAATTGATCCCTTTACCATTATGTAATGGCCTTTTTTGTCTCTTTTAATCTTTGTTGGTTTAAAGTCTGTTTTATGAGAGACTAGGATTGCAACCCCTGTCTTTTTTTCTTTTCCATTTGCTTGGTAGATCTTCCTCCATCCCTTTATTTTGAGCCTATGTGTGTCTTTGCACAGGAGATGGGTTTCCTGAATACAGCACACTGATGGGTCTTGACTCTTTATCCAATTTGCCAGTCTGTGTCTTTTAATTGGAGCATTTAGCCCATTTACATTTAAAGTTAATATCATTATGTGTGAATTTGATCCTGTCATTATGATGTTAGCTGGTTATTTTGCTCGTTAGTTGATGCACTTTCTTCCTACCCTTGATGATCTTTACAATTTGGCATGTTTTTGCAGTAGCTGGTACTGGTTGTTCCTTTCCATGTTTAGTGCTTCCTTCAGGAGCTCTTTTAGGGCAGGCCTGGTGGTGACAAAATCTCACAGAATTTGCTTGTCTGTAAAGGATTTTATTTCTCCTTCACTTATGAAGCTTAGTTTGGCTGGATAAGAAATTCTGGGTTGAAAATTCTTGTTTTTAAGAATGTTGAATATTTTCCCCCACTCTCTTCTGGTTTGTAGAGTTTCTGCCGAGAGATCAGCTGTTAGTCTGATGGGCTTCCCTTTGTGGGTAACCCGACCTTTCTCTCTGGCTGCCCTTAACACTTTTTCCTTCATTTCAACTTTGGTGAATCTGACAATTATGTGTCTTGGAGTTGCTCTTCTTGAGGAGTACCTTTCTGGTGTTCTCTGTATTTCCTGAATTTGAATGTTGGCCTGCCTTGCTAGATTGGGGAAGTTCTACTGGATAATATCCTGCAGAGTGTTTTCCAGCTTGGGTCCATTCTCCCCATCACTTTCAGGTACACCAATCAGACGTAGATTTGGTCTTTTCACATAGTCCCATATTTCTTGGAGGCTTTGTTAATTTCTTTTTATTCTTTTTTCTCTAAACTCTCTTCTTGCTTCATTTCATTCATTTGATCTTCCATCAATGATACCCTTTCTTCCAGTTGATTAAATAGGCTACTGAGGCTTGTGCATTCATCATGTAGTTCTCGTGCCATGGTTTTCAGCTCCATCAGGGTCTTTAAGGACTTCTCTGCATTGGATATTCTAGTTAGCCATTCGTCTAATCTTTTTTCAAGGTTTTTAACTTCTTTGCCATGGGTTCAAACTTCCTCCTTTAGCTTGGAGTAGTTTGATCATCTGAAGCCTTCTTATCTCAACTCATCAAAGTCATTCTCCATCCAGCTTTGTTCCATTGCTGGTGAGGAGCTGTGTTCCTTTGGAGGAGGAGAGGTGCTCTGATTTTTAGATTTTTCAGTTTTTCTGCTGTTTTTTTCCTCATCTTTGTGGTTTTATCTACCTTTGGTTTTTCATGATGGTGACCTACAAATGGGGTTTTGGTGTGGATATTCTTTCTGTTTGTTAGTTTTCCTTCTAACAGTCAGGACCCTCAGCTGCAGGTCTGTTGGAGTTTGCTGGAGGTCCACTCCAGACCCTGTTTGCCTGGGTATCAGCAGTGGAGGCTGCAGAACAGTGGATATTGGTGAGCAGCAAATGTGGCTGCCTGATCATTCCTCTGAACGTTTTGTGTCAGAGGAGTACCCGGCCATGTGAGGTGTCAGTCTGCCACTACTGGGGGGTGCCTCCCATTTAGGCTACTTGGGGGTCAGGGACCCACTTGAGGAGGCAGTCTGTCCATTCTCAGATCTCAAGCTGCGTGCTGGGAGAACCACTACTCTCTTCAAAGCTGTCAGACAGGGACTTTGAAGTCTGCAGAGGTTTCTGCTCTCTTTTGTTTGGCTATGCCTTGTCCCCAGAGGTGGAGTCTATAAAGGCAGGTAGGCCTCCTTGAGCTGCAGTGGGCTCCACCCAGTTCGAGTTTCCAGCTGCTTTGTTTACCTACTCAAGCCTGAGCAATGGCGAGTGCCCCTCCCCTAGCCTCACTGCCACCTAGCAGTTTGATCTCAGACTACTGTGCTAGCAATGAGCAAGGCTCCATGGGCATAGGACCCTCTGAGCCAGGCACACAATATAATCTCCTGGTGTGCCCTTTGCTAAGACTGTCGGAAAAGTGCAGTATTAGGGTGGGAGTGACCCGATTTTCCAGGTGCCATCCATCACCCCTTTCCTTGGCTAGGAAAGGGAATTCCCTGACCCCTTGCCCTTCCCTGGTGAGGCGATGCCTCGCCCTGTTTTGGCTCAGGCTCGGTGTATGGCACCCCCTGTCTGACAATCCCCAGTGAGATGCACCCGGTACCTCAGTTGGAAATGCAGAAATCATTCATCTTCTGCATTGCTCGTGCTGGGAGCCATAGACTGGAGCTGTTCCTATTTGGCCATCTTGGCTCCACCCTCATATTTTCTCTTGAACGTACTCCAAACAGTCATTTGATGCTACCGCTTCACTAAAATACATTATGCCAAGGTCACCAATAATCATTCTGTTGCTGAATTCAAAATCGATTTTCAATCCTTACAATTTCACCTACTGACAACATTTAATAGAATATACTACATACTCTTTTTGGAAACACTTTCTTCCTTTGGCTTCTGGGACAGCACAGTCTCTTGCTTCTCCAATCTCTAAGACCACTCCTTAGGTCTTCTTTGCAGTTTCTCCCTCATTTCTTTACACTCTAAATGTTGGAGGGCCTCAGGACAAGGCCCTCAGTCCTCTTTCTTCTTTAATCTATCCAAATTAACTTCCTAAGAGATCTCACCCAGTCTCATACTTTTAAAAAGCGTCTGCATGTTGATAACTCCAAAATTCAAACCTCTGGTCTGGATCTCAACCACAAATTTCAAGTCCATATATCTCACTGCCCTCTAAAGAATTCTACTTTTAAGTCTCATAGAAATCTCAGCCTTAACATATCTCAAAAGAAACTCCTTACTCCCTCCTCAACATGTTCCTACAGGTTGCTATTACTTAGATCTTCCCCACCTAAGTAATAGCATCTCCATTTTTTATTATTCATGTCAGAAATCTTGGTCACCCATTAGTCTTCTTTTTTACTCACATCCCATATTCAACCTCAGCACCAAATCTTATTGACTCTTCTTCCAAAATACATCCAGAATCTGACCCTTTCTCAGAATTTCTATTGCAAAAATCCTGGTCCATAGGGCAATCATCTCTCATTGGGAATATTGTAATAGCCTCCACAATGGGCCTCCCTGCTTCTATCTATTCCTGTTATCAGAATGATTGTTCAAAAACGTCAATCAGATTATGGCATTCCTCTGCTCAGATCTGTCCAATGACTTCCTACCTGAGTCAGAGTAAAATCAACAGTTCCCTCCCAGCACTATCCTGACCTCACCTGCTATCACATTTGCCTACTCCCTGCTGGCTCTGCCTCAGCCATGTTGACCTCATTTCTAGTCCTCAAAAGTGCCAAGCGCTCCCCCACTTCAGGACCTTTGCACTTACTATTTCCTCTGCTTCAAATGGTCTTACCTCATGGAATCACAAGATTCCCTTCCTGACTTTCTTTATATTTATAATACACCTGTGCAATAATGTCTTCAAGGAACACTTTTTATAAAACAGCAACTCTCCCCCCGACTCTAACATTTTCTATTCCCCTTTCCCTGCTTTTTCTAAATTGCAAAATTGCCACATGATATATGTGTATATTTATTTGTCTGTCTACCCCCATCAGAATATAAGTTCTTGAGGGCCAGAACATTATCTGCTGTGTTCACTGGTGTACCCCCAGCACCTACAATAGTGCCAGTTGTACAATAGGCACCCAATAAATATTTATTGACTGACTACATGAATGAAAAGAAATGGAGGCCAGCTGTGGTGGCTCACACCCATAATCCCAGCACTTTGGGAGGCTGAGGTGGGCGGATCACCTGAGGTCAGAACTTCAACACCAGCATGACCAACATGACGAAACCCCATCTCTACTAAAAATACAAAATAAGCCGGTCATGGTGGTGCATGCCTGTAATCCCAGCTATTCGGGAGGCTGAGGCAGGAGGATCATTGAACCCAGGAGGCAGAGGTTGCAGTGAGCAGAAATCATGTCACTGCACTCCAGCCTGAGCAATAGAGTGAGACTCTGTCTCAAAAAAAAAAAAAAAAAAAAGAAAGAAAGAAGGAAAAGAAAAGAAAAGAAAAAGAAAAGAGAAAGAAAAGGCTCCTAGCGCCTGAACACTCAGAAGAAAGCCAGTTCAGAAAGAAGCAGCTAGAGATTGATGTGAAAAACACATCATTCCTTTCTTGCTTATATAAACAAAACACATGCACATGCACTCATACATGCACAGACACATAGTACGCACTGAAATTCTCATAACCATATATAGACTCAATCACTATAAGGCCCTCTTATAAACTTCACAAACTTGCTAATTTAAGAACCTCTTCTTAGTTGGCAAACATTTTCTATAGTGAACACAAGATAGTAAATAGTTTAAGCTTTTTGATCTCTGTTCCATATGATCTCTGTTCAACTACTCAGCTCTGCCATTGTAGCACAAAAGAAGCTATAGAAAAAAAATCTTCTTAAGTAGAGTTAAATATTTGGACTAGATTCATACTCGAACTTTACCTGACTAGTAGTAGGGTCCAGATTCTACTGCCTTTGGAGGAAAATTTATACTAAAATTTTTCTTTAAGAACTTTTGGAGAAATATAAGTACTAAAGTTTAATTTGTGCATGTCCTTCTACTAGCAATTTCATCCTAGGTATGTAACCTAAGAAAATCCTCTCACATATGCACAGAAGAGATACACACAAAATGTTCACTGCAGCATTATTCATAATAGAGGAAAATTGGAAAAAATCTAAATATCCATCAATGGGAAAATGGATAAATGGACTATGGTAGATTCATACAGTAGAATATTAACTGGTACTTCAGAATTAGAGCCTGGATAAATCTCAAAAGCATTGATTGAGCATCTGAACAAGTTGCAGGATATATACCATATCATATACATAAACTTAAAATGTGTAACACAATACTATATATAACTTGTGGATATATAAGAAACATAGTAAGAGTATAAAATGATCAACACCAATTTCAGTAGAGTGACTGTCTCACCCCACTGTCTTCAGTGGGAGACACAGTAGGAAGGGAAAGAGGTAATGAGGGGCTTTGACTGTATCTGCAGTGACTTATTTCTTGAAAAGAACATATATCTGCAGGAATATGTCAAGGTTTTAAGATTTTACAAAACTTGGTGGTATTTTTCAGTATTTCTCTTTGCTTTCCTATGTGCTTGAAATATTTCATAATTAAAAAAATGACTCCATTCCCCCAAAATTGAGGATAACCAGATAAACAGTCCCCTCAACACAGTGTGGCATTAATGAGATTCAATTATGTTTACAAGGGCATTCCAGGTGGAAAAACTGTATTTGCATAACTGCTTATTTTGGGTAACACTGATAGAGTTAAATCATGAAGGATCTTGTAAGTCATAATAAGCAGTTGGAATTTTATCCTGTTGGCACTTGAAAGTCATTGAATTTTCAGGAAGGGAGTAACATGATTTGATTTAAATTTTATTGAGATCTCTCTTGGGGAGCAATTTGAGGAATAGAATAGAGGGTTAAAATGAATGGAAGTAGTAAGACCAGTTTGGAGGCTTTTACAATGATCCATGCAAGATATAAGGGAGTCCTGGAGTAAGTGGCACTGAAGATGGAGAAAAGTAGATGAATGTAAAAGTGTTTAAGAAGTAAAATCAGGCCAGGCACGGCGGTTCATGCCTGTAATCCCAGCACTTTGGGAGGCCAAGGTGGGTGGATCACTTGAGGTCAGGAGTTCAAGACCAGCCTGGCCAACATGGCCTTGTCTCTAGTAAAAATACAAAAATTAGACAGACATGGTGGCAAACACCTGTAATCCCAGCTACTTGGTAGGCTGAGGTGGGAGAATCACTTGAACTTGGGAGGCGAAGGTTGCAGTGAGCCGAGATTGAGCCACTGCACTCCAGCCTGGGTGACAGAGTGAGACTCAATCTCAAAAAAAAAAAAAAAAAAAAAGAAGAAGAAGGAAGAAGGAAGGAAGAAGGAGAAATAAACTCAACTGGAGTCTGATGTGCAAAGTGCAGAAGGAAGTCCAGGGTGCCTTTCAGTTTTCTAGCCTGTTGGAATGAGTGGATAATGATTGTGCTCACTGGAATGGGGAGTAAGGGGAAGGAAGTGCAGATTTGGGCATGGCAGGGAAGATAAAGAATTGATGCATGTTGAATTCCAGTCTCGATTTAGACATTCCTGAGGAGGATATCCATGAGGCATGTGGATGAGTAGATCTGCAGCTTTAGGTGAAAATTCATGAAGATAAATATTTGGTGTTCATCCATGTATAGCTGGCAGTTAAAACCATGAAAATGAAGGAGATGTCCTGGGATAGTATAGAGACTGGAGATTAAGGAGAGAAGAGAACCAAGGACAGAATCTGGAATCACCACCACATTGAATGAGACACAGCGAAGAGAATTCCACGTAGAAGGCTGAGCACAAATTGGTGGAAATGTGGCAGAAGAGTGCAGAGATCATGGAAGGCAGCTTCATGACATTAAGCCTGAGTGCTAGAATCACAGCACAAACCCTCTGCCCTCTCTTGTACTAAAAATGATTGAGAAATGCCTCCTCAATCTGAAGGCTAATTTCTCCACCTGAGCTTTAAATAACTTCAAAAGTGAATGTGTAAACCTATGTAGAATATTGATCTGCTGCCAAGAAAGTCTTAAGGGGATCAATTTCCATATCCTAAAATTCCATATGAACCCTCCTAAAACTGACCTACACACTTTGGGTTCAGGCACTGAAAAAATTCTCCTTTCTCACTTCTCCATTTGCAGTCACCATCTTTCCCCTTCACAAAAGAAAGGCCTTCTCCTCATCTATCCCTAATGGTAATCAGATAAATTTCCTTAGAATATAAAAACCTCCAACAGGTCAAAGAAGCACATCAAGATTTTAGCCTTGAGCAAAGTACTCTTGAATTGATTGAGGCACCAAAAACATATGATGAACCTACGTTTTTCCCTTACACATTTCTGTTAAGGGCACAGCCTGGCTCTAGAAGCCTATGTTCTGTATCCATCTCCTTTGTGACCACTTTCGCTCCTTTTCATCTCACCTCTTATTCCCATGTCCAGTTCTTCAAAGGCTTTGACCAACTTCATGCAGGTACAACCTAGAAGCTTCTGGCTTCAGTTTCTCTGATGTGGATACCAGTGGGAACTCACACAAATGCAACCCAACTGTGTGGGAAGTTACTCTGTAGAGTAATCCTTGAACCATGGCAGTAGGTAGATAAAGGCTTCCCCCTCTGTTCACCAAGAGACAATCCTGAGACACATTTCATTAGGATTCTCTGATGATCCACTGTTATCCAGCAGCCAATCTCCTATAATAGTAGCCAGCTGAATAAAGCTTCCTTTATTGGCTCTCCTGCTTCCTCCTTCACTCACCTGTGTCACTCCTCCCCGTATGCAAGCATTTGTTTTAGGCTCTGCTATGGGAGAACCCAGGAAAAGAGAGTTAAGATGTTCTGAATTCAGATATTTTGTAGGATGGGGCAGAAGAAATGAGGGTGATGTCATTTACCAACTTCCCCTCTTCCATCTCTGGACTACTACCAAGGAACACATCACGTTAAGGAGAATGCTATGAGAGCAAAGCAATGAGAGAGAATACAGGAAAATGCGGAAGTTTCAGTGCCTTATTTTACCAAGCAACAAACTCAAGGCAAGGCTCTGTGGAGTACCCTTCTATTTGCTCGAGAATAGACTATTTGAGATATGCGGTAGGCATTTCGGGAAATCCAGTCGAGTATGAGGTTCAACCCTCTGCAATTTTTTTTTTTTTTTTTTAATGAAAAGAGCGTGAGAAGAACTCAATTCAGCTGCGGCTTCATCGAGGACATAGGTGTATGTGTTCATGATTTCAAGGATGAGGTGAAAAAGCTCCTCAGTCAGCCAGTGTTACAGCTTCAAATAAAAGGAACACATATTGAAGGTAAGTTAGCATTTTATATTAAACATTTATTCAGACATGTAAAAGAAACAATTTTATTAACTCATTACTAAAATATTTAAGCAACGAAACCTCCTGCTTGTTGCCTCTTGTCACTCACTTCTCTGCTCATTCATTTCTATTATGTGTTTATTAGATTTAGGTTAACTTAATAGAAATATGTTATTGATTTTATTATACATAGTTTAAAATTGTCAATTCACTTCTTGTAAGTTCTACATTTACTGGTGGCCCTATACCTTCTTTTTTTTTTTTTTTTTGTCTTTCATTTGTTTCTTGCTATAAATTTCCACAAAGCAGTTAAAATGTATCTTTAAAGCAAAACATTTCCTTGTGTATGGAAATAGGATAAAATGTTTCCAGAGCAATTAGGATATAATGCCTTGAAGTTTAGAAAACTCACACTATTAGTGTTTTTTCTCCCTCTCCGAAGCAGATACGCTGTTCAGTTCTTTCAAATGTGTGAGCAGTTGTCTTAAACTATAAAATGGAACTACCAATCTAGCTATGTATAAAAATACTCAAGAACGTGACTCTTTCTAACCTCACATCTTTCCAAGGTACTTTGAGATTACCTGGAAAATTGTAATTTAGATGAATATGTAGGTCTGGATTCACAGTCAATGGGAAAAGTCCTAAAATGCACAATTTCCAGGGTTTCTTTTCTTTTTTTTTTTTTTTTTTTGGCGGGGAGTGGTTTTACTCAATGGCCATCTAGTGTTAGCTCCATAAACAAGTTGCCTCTAAGTGAAAGTATAGTTGGTATAAGGGGCTTTCATCTCAGGAGAGAGGATTGCTTGAGCCTGGGAGGTCAAGCTTGCCGTGAGCCATGATCCCACCACTGCATTCCAGCCTGAGCAACCCTATTTAAAAAAAAAAAAAAAAAAGGCATTGAAAAGCCTTGATAAAGCCTTCTTGATGTATTTCCCAGGAAATGAGAAAGTTATTCTAAGGGCCAGGTTAAAGAATCCTTTTAAGTCAGCACTTTTCTGTTTTTTGTCTTCAACAAAATTAAAGGGAGGTATAACAGTGGTCAATAGCTAGATTTTTAAATATAATTTTTGATAACATATCACTATGAATTTGAGTGTATGACTTGGATGAATTTCTAAGAATTGAGTGATGTTATAAAAATTATATTCTTTATTTACTATGTAAATAAATATTTCTCATTTACTATATAAAAAAATAGTTAACGCTGAATCCTGTCTCATTCTATCAGTAAGTCCTATTTATCCATGGATACATTATTTAAGTAGACAAAAAGAAAACTATCTGACAAGGCAATGTCTTGTCATAAAATTTCAATTTCTAGGTTTGATAATTATTAATAACATTTATATTAATAACCTACTATAACTTACACTAAAACATGCAGTCTTTGAGAAAATATTATTTTCATTCATATACATATTTTTATTGCAGAGAAGTTTGTAGAATGATATATATTTAAGCATAAAATAATTCATTGGAATAAAATTCTGAGGAAAAATGAAATAAAAATATGATTTCAAGAAGAAAAGATAACAATGGAGATTTTTCAGCTATTTAAAGAACTCCAATATATATTGATATTTTTAACAGATGATGGTAAATGTCAAATTTTTTATAACATTTAATTTCCCTATTTACATTTAAAGAGCAATGTTACAGTTTTGGGATTGTTTTGCCCACCCACCCCCCCACTATTTATTTTTTTAATTGACAAAAATATTGCATATATTTGTGTTCAATCTAAGGTTCTGAAATGTGTATATGTCATAGGGTAAATAAATATAACATATGCATTACCTCACATATCCTTTTTTGTGGTGGAAATATTTAAAATCTCAGTGATTTTTGAGAATATAATGTGTTCATATTAACTGTAGTCACCAGGTTTTACATCAGGTAGATCTCCTGAATTTACTCCTCTTCACTGAAATTTTGTGTCCTCTGACCAACATCTCCCTAACTTCCTCCACCCCAGCCCCGGTAACCACCATTCTGCTCTCTGTTTCTATGAGTTCAACTTTTTTAGATTCCACATATAAGTGAGGTCATGCAGTATTTGTCTTTTTATGCCTGGCTTATTTAATTTAATATAATGACCTCCAGTTCCATTAATGTTTCTGCAAATGACAGAATTTCCTTCTTTTTTATGACTGAATAGTATTCCATTGTGTATATATATGATATTTTTTAAATCCATTCATCCATTAATGAACACTTAGGCTGATTCCATATCTTAGTTATTGTGAATAATGGTGCAATGAATATGAGAGTGCTGATCTCTTCAGCATACTGATTTCATGTCCTCTGAATATGTATCCAGTAGTGTGATAGCTGGATCATATGGTAGTTACATATGTATATTGTTTTTGAGGAACCACCATGCTGTTTTTCATAATGACTCTAACTAATTTACATTCCCACCAAGTGTACAAGAATTCCCGTTAATCTGCATTCTTGCCAACATTTATCTTTTTTCTTTTTAATAATACCTACTCTAATATTTGTAAAGTGATCATTGCGGTTTTAATTTGCATTTTATAATTGATTAGTAATGTTCAGCATTTTTTCATGTACCTATTTACTGTATTTGGTCTTTTGAGAAATGTCTGTTCAAGTACTTTGCCCATTTTAAAATCAGATTGTTTTCCTGCTATTGAATTGTTAGAGTTACTTATATATTTTGGATATTAACCCCTTCTCATGTGTCAAATATTTTCTCTCATTTGCTAGGTGGTCTCTTCACATGTTGAATATTTCCTTGGCTGTGTAGACGTTTTTTAGTTTGATGTAATGCCATTTGTCTAACTGTGCTTTTGTTACCTGTGCCTTTGGAGTCTGTAAAAAAAAATCATCACCAAGACCAATGTCATGAAGATTTTGCCTATGATTTCTTGTAGTTTTATAATTTCTGGGTTTACATTCAATTCCTTAATCTATTTTGAGTTGATTTTTCCCTGAGCTATATATTTTTTAAATAATTTTATATTTTATTTTAGATTCGGGGGTATATGTGCAGGTTTGTTACCTGGGTATATTGTGTGATGCTGAGGTTTGGGGTATGAATGATCTTTTCACCCAGATACTGAGAATAGTACCCAATAGATAGTTTTTCAGCCCTTGACAACTCCTTCCATCTCTCCACTAGAAATCCCCCATGTCTATTGTTGCCATCTTTATATCCATAATTACCAAGTGTTTAGCTCCCATTTATAAGTGACAATATGTGGTATTTGGTTTTCTGTTCCTGTGTTAATTCACTTAGGATAATGGCCTCCAGCTGCATCCACATTGCTGCACAGAACATGATTTCATTTTTTATGGCTGCATGGTATTCCATGGTATATATGTATGACATTTTTTTTTTTGTCCAATCCACTGTGGATGGGCATCTAGGTTGATTCCATGAACATAAGAGTATGTGTGTCTTTTTGGTAGAATGATTTATTTTCTTTTGGATATAAACCTGGGTGGAATGGTAGTTGTTTTTAGTTCTTTGAGAAATGTCCAAACTGCTTTCTGCGGTGGCTGAACTAATTTATATTTCCACCAACAATGTATAAACATTTTATTTTCTCCATAGCCTTGCCCAGAATCTGTTGTTTTTTCACTTTTTAATAATAGCCATTCTAACTGGTGTGAAAAAATATCTCATTGTGGTTTCAATTTGCATTTCTCTCTGATGTTTAGTGATGAGCATTTTTTCATATGTCTGCTGGCCACTTGTATGTCTTCTTTTGAGAAGTGTCCATGTCTTTTGCCTACATATTGTTCTGAGATGGAGTTTTGCTCTTGTTGCTTTTTCAACAGTTTAAGTTCTCTATGGATTCTGGATATTAGACTTTGTCATATGCATAGTTTGCAAATATTTTCTTTCATTCTGTAGGTTGTCTATTTACTGTTGAGAGTTTTCTTTTGCTATTCAGAAGCCTTTTAGTTTAATTAGGTTCAACTTATCAATTTTTGGTTTTGTTGGAATTGCTTTTGAGGACTTAGTCACTAATTCTATCCCAAGGCTCATATATAAAATGGTATTCCTAGATTTTCTGCTAGGGTCCTTATACTTTGAGGCCTTACATTTAAATATTTAATCCTTCTTGGGTTAATTTTTGTATATAGTGAGAGGTAGGAGTCCAGTTTTATTCATCTCTGCACAGAATGGATGGGGTGACTTGGGTTGCCACCCAGTTGAGCAGGTGCTCCAAATGCCTGATGATCTGCCTCAGTATGAAGCACAAAGGCCTCCCCTGCACCAGGATCTTTGTGCAGGAAGGGCAGCATGGCTGAAGCTGCTAGTTCTTTTGAACAAGTGCTTCAAATGCCTGGCAATTTGGATGATGTCCAAAATGTTTAGGTGTGGAGTAGAGAGGGCCCTACTGCACCATGATCTACACACAAGAAGATCCACCTGCTGATCCAGGTGAAGGAGTACTTCAAATGTCTAGAGATTTACCTGGGGGGTGGAGCACACCAGATTCTAATATGGTTTGGGTCTGTGTTCCCACCCAAATCTCAAGTCGAACTGTAATCCTCAATATTGGAGGTGGAGCTTGGTGGGAGGTAAGTAAATCTTGAAGGCATATTTCCCATTTGGTGCTCTTCTCATGACAGTGAGTGAGTTATCTCGAGATTTGGTTGTTTAAAAGTGTGCGACACCTCCCCTCTCTCTCTCTTCCTCCTGCTTCAGCCATGTAAAACATGCCTGCCTCCCCTTCACCTTCCACTATGATTGTAAGTTTACCAAGGCCTTCCCAGCAACGTTTCCTCTACAGCCTGCAGAACTGTGAATCAATTAAACCTCTTTCTTTGTAAATTACCCAGTCTCAGGTATTTCTTTATAGCAATGCAAGAACAGATTAATATAGAAAATTGGTACCAGGAATGGGGCATTGCTATAAAGATACCTGAAAATGTGGTGGAAGTGGCTTTGGAACTGGGTAATGGGCAGAAGTTTGAACAGTTCAAAGGGCTCAGAAGAAGACAGGAAGATGAGGGAAAGTTTGGAATTCCTAGAGATTTGCTGAATGGTTGTGACCAAAATGCAGATAGTGATATGGATGGTGAAGTCTAGGATGAGGAGGTCTCAGATGGAAATGAGAAACTTATTGGGAACTGGAGTAAAGGTCACTCTTGATATGCTTTAGCAGAGATTGGTGGCATTGTGCCCCAGCTCTAGGGATCTGTAGAATTTTGAACTTGAGAGAGATGATTTAGAGTACCTGGTGGAAGACATTTCTAAGCAGCAAAGTGTTCAAGGTAAACCTGAACTGCTAAATCCTGGCTGCTTCTAAAAGCCTATGCTCATATGCATGAGCAAAGAAATGATCTGAAACTGGAACTTATATGTAAAAGGGAAGCAGATCATAAATGTTTGAAAACCTTGCAGCCTGGCCATGCAGTAGAAAAGAAAAACCCATTTTCTGGGAAGAAATTCAAGCCAGCTGAAGAAATTTGCATAACTAAAAGGAAGGCAAGAACTAGTAGCCAAGACAATGGGGAAAAAAAGCCCTTGAAGACACATCAGAGACCTCACAGCAGCCCCTCCAATCACGGGCCCCAAAGCCTAAGGAGGAAGAATGGTTTCATGGGCCAGACACAGGGCCCTGCTTTCCTGTGCAGCCTCAAAACACTGCTCCCTGCATCCTGGCTGCTCCAGTTCCAGCTGTGGCTCAAAGGATCCTAGGTACATCTCAGGCTGCTGCTTCTGAGGATTCAAGCCACAAACCTTAGCAGCTTCTATGTGGTGTTAAGCCTGCAGCTGCACAGACTGTAAAAGTTGAGGTTTGGGAGCCTCTGCCTAGATTTCAGAAGATGTATGGAAAAGCCTGGAACACCAAGCAGAAGCCTCCACACAGAGTCCCCAATGGGACACTGCCTACTGGACCTGTGGGAAGAGGGCTAGATACACTGACAGCTTGTACCCTACACCTGGAAAAGACACAGGCACTAAATGCCACCCCTGAAAGCAGCCTCAGGGACTGTACCCTGTAGAGCCTCAGGTGGAGCTGCCCAAGGCCTTGGGAGCCTACCCTTCACACCAGTGTGCCCTGAGTGTGAGACATAGAGTCGAAAGAGATTATTTTGGAGCTTTAAGATTTAATAACTGCCCTGCTGGGTTTCAGATTTGCATAGTGCCTGTAGCCCTTTCTTCTCCCCAGTTTCTCCCATCTGGAAAGGGAGTATTTACCCAATGCCTGTACCCCCATTGTATCCATGAAGTAACTAATTTGTTTTTGATTTTACAGGCTCATAGGTGGAAGGGACTAGCCTTGTATTAGATGAGGCTTTGGACTTTGGACTTTTGAGTTAATGCTGGAATGAGTTAAGGCTTTGGGGTAGCTTTTGGAAGGCATTATTGTATTTTGAAATGTGAGAAGGACATGGGATATTGGAGGGGCTAGGGATGGAATAATATGGTTTGGGTCTGTGTCTCCACCCAAATCACATGTCAAATTATAATCCCAACATTGGAGTAGGCACCTGGTGGGAGGTGATTGGATTATGAGAACATATTTCCCCTTTGGTGCTGTACTCATGATAGTAAGTTCTCACGAGATCTGTTTGCTTAAAACTGTGTAACGCCTCTCCTCCCTTCCTTCCTCCTGCTCCAGTCATGTAATACAGACCTGCTTCCTCTTTGCCTTCTGCTATGATTGTAAGTTTTCTGAGGCCTTCCCAGCCATGTTTTCTGTACAGCTTGCAGAACTGTGAGCCAATTAAATCTCTTTTCTTCATGAGTTACCAAGTTGGCTGGGTATTTTATAAAGTATTTCTTTATAGCAGTGTAAGAACAGACTAATACAGGGTCCCACTGCACCACGATCTCAGGGAAGCAGGCTGGGCACCCAGCAATGACACACATGACCAGTTTCGATCTCCATGCTGGCTATAGCTGCAGGTCTCATCACCGGGGAGAAACTGTAGCCATAGCAGCTGTCCTCCCACCCCAGGACTGTGACCAGCGAGAACACAATTCCAGCACCTTCTGCTGAGATGCTTTCCACATTTCTGGCTGTGGAGGCACCTACCTGGCTCCAGAACAAACACCTCAGTCTTTGGCCTGAGACTATAATGCCTGTATGGCCATGCTGCCAGGTTGCCAAAGAATGGTTAACTTTGTGTGTACTCAGATTAAAAATGGCATCTTGGGCCAGGTGTGGTGGATTATGCCTGTAACCCCAGCACTTTGGGAGGCCGAGTGGGGGCAGATCAGTTGTGAACTAAAGTTTGAGACAAGACTGGCTAACATGGTGAAACCCTGTCTCTACGAAAAAATACAAGAATTAGCCAGGCGTGGTGGTGGGCACCTGTAGTCCCAGTTACTCAGGAGGCTGAGGCAGGAGAATCACTTGAACCTGGGAGGTAGAGGTTGCAGTGAGCCAAGATCACACCATTGTACTCCAGCCCAGGCATCAGAGCAAGACTAAATCTTATTAAAAAAAAAAAAAAAAACAAATGACATTTTGCTCTTAGTCACAGATACAGGAAAATGCCTGCAGCTTTTCCAAGTCTTTCTCTCTCAGCACTTCCAAGCCTCTGGGTTGCTTGGATTCTCAATGGAAGGGTGAGTCACAGAGAGAGGCACTCTTTATCTCTCACTTAATGGAAATTTACTCACTTTTATCAGCTGGACACCATCACAGGAGCTGTTTGCCCACATTCTCCTCCCCTGGGTCTGTAGTGTTCTACACAATTCCAGTGGATTCCCATTTTCCTTATCAAAAATGCAGTTATTTTTCACAGAGTTGTTCTTTATGCACTACCTTGTTATTTACAAGTGGTTGAGGCTCACTAAAAGCCTCATCTCTCATCTTGGAGGAAAACATATATGGTATGAGATTGGGCCTGTAATATTTTTTTCTAATTTAATTATTCTGCATGTGGAAATACAGTTTTTCTAAGACCATTCATTGAAAATATTATGTTTCCTTATTGTTTCTTCTTGGCACCTTTATTAAAAATCCATTGACTGTAAACGTGTAGTTATATTTCTGTTCTTGCTGTTGTGTTCCATTGGTCTATGTATCTGTTTTTATGCCAGTGCCATGTTGTTTTGATTACTGTGGCTTTGTGGTATAGTCTCAAGTCAGATAGTATAGTACAATACGTCAAGCTTTGTTCTTTTTGCTCAACATTACTTTGATTATTAGGAGTCTTTTCTGGTTTCATATAAATTTTAGGATTTATTTCTATTTCTGTGAAAAATGTTATTGGAATTGTGATAGCAATTGCATTCACTGTAGGTCACTTTGGATAGTATGAATGTTTTAACAATATTCTTCAATTCCATGAATATGGGATATCTTTTCATTTATTTATGTATTCATCAATTTATTTCACCAGTATTTTAGAGTTTTCAGTATACATGTCTTTCACCTCCGTGGGTAAATTTATTTCTATGTATTTTATTCTTGGTAGCTATCACAAATAGGATTTTTTTCATTTTCCTTTTTTTTTTTTTTGGATTGATCATTCCTAATGTATAGAAATGCTACTGATTCTTTGTATGTTGATTTTTCTATTCTGCAACTTTACTGAATTTATTCTAACTAATTAGTTTTTAAGGGAATTCTTAGTGTTCTCTCTATATAAGATCATCTCACTGGCAAACGGATCCAATTTACCTTCTTTTTTTCCAATTTGAATTCTTTTATTTCTTTCTCTTGTCTAATTTCTCTGGCTAGAAGTTCAATAGTATGTTGAAAAGAGATGATGAGAGGGATCCTTGTCTTGTTCCTGATCTTAAAGGAAAAGCTTTCAACTTTCCACCAATGAGTATAATGTTTTCAATGGGCTTGTCAAATGTGGTCTTTATTGTGTTGAGGTGCATTCCTTCTAAACTTGTTAAAAGTTTTTTGTTAACAGTTACCATGAAAATATGTTGAATTTTTTCAAATGCTTTTGCTGCATCTATTATATTTTGTAGATTGTATTTTTTGACCTGCATTCTATTCTGTTAATGTGATGTGTAATATTTTTTTTCTTTTTTTATTATACTTTATTATAAAGTATATTATTTCTTTTTTTATTATACTTTTTTTTCTTTTTTTTACACTTTAAGTTCTGGGGTACATGTGCAGAGTGTTCAGTTTTGTTACACAGGTATACATGTCCCACAGTGGTTTGCTGCAACCATCAACCCATCATCTACATTAGGTGTTTCTCCTAATGCTATCCCTCCCCTTGCCTGCCATCCCCTGACAGGCCCCAGTGTGAGATGTTCCCCTCCTTGTGCACATGTGTTCTCATTGTTCAACTCCCACTTATGAGTGAGAACAAGTGGTGTTTGGTTTTCTATGCCTGTGTTAGTTTGCTGAGAATGATAGTTTCCAGCTCCATCCATGTTCCTGTAAAAAACATGAACTCATTCTTTTTTATGGCTGCTTAGTATTCCATGGTGTATATATGCCACGTTTTCTTTATCCAGTATAACATTGATGGGCATTTGGGTTGGTTCCACGTCTTTGCTATTGTGAATATTTCTACATTAAACATAACTGTGCATGTGTCTTTATAGTAGCATGATTTATAATCATTTGGGTATATACCCAGTAATGAGATTGCTGGGTCAAATGGTATTTCTAGTTCTAGATCATTGAGGAATTGCCACACTGTCTTCCACAATGGTTGAACTAATTTACACTCCCACCAACAGTGTAAAAGCATTCCTATTTCTCCACATCCTCTCCAGCATCTGTTGTTTCCTGACTTTTTAATGATCACCATTCTAACTGGCATGAGATGGTATCTCATTGTGGTTTTGATTTGCATTTCTCTAATGACCAGTGATGATGAGCATTTTTTCATAGGTTTGTTAGTTGCATAACTCTCTTGAAGTGTCTGTTCATATCCTTTGCCTAATTTTTGATGGGGTTGTTTTTTTCTTGTAAATTTGTTTAAGTTCTTTGTAGATTCTGGATATTAGCCCTTTGTCAGATGGATGGATTGCAAAAATTTTCTCCCTTCTGTAGGTTGCCTGTTCACTCTGATGATAGTTTCTTTGCTGTGCAGAAGCTCTTTAGTTTAATTAGATCCCATTTGTCTATTTTGGCTATTGTTGCCATTGCTGCCATTGTTGCCAATTGGTGTTTTAGTCATGAAGTCTTTGCCCATGACTATGTCCTAAAACGTATTGCCTAGGTTTTCTTCTAGGGTTTTTATGGCTTTAGGTGTTACATTGAAGTCTTTAATCCATCTTGAGTTAATTTTGTAAAGTTTTAGCTTTCTGCATACAGGTAGCCAGTTTTCCCAACACCATTTATTAAATAGGGAATCCTTTCCCCATTGCTTGTTTTTGTCAGGTTTGTCAAAGATCAGATGGTTGTAGATGTGTGGCGTTATTTCTGAGGCCTCTATTCTGTTCCATAGGTCTCTTTTTGTTCAAGTACCATGCTGTTTTGGTTACTGTAGCATTGTAGTATAGTTTGAAGTCAGGTAGCATGATGTCTCCAGCTTTGTTCTTTTTGCTTAGGATTGTCTTGGTTATGTGGGCTCTTTTTTGGCTCCATATGAAATTTAAAGTAGTTTTTTCTAGTTCTGTTTAGAAAGTCAGTGGTAGCTTGATGGGGATAGCATTGAATCTATAAATTACTTTGGACAGCGTGGCCATTTTCATGATATTGATTCTTCCTATCCATGAGCATGTAATGTTTTTCCATTTGTTTGTGTCCTCTTATTTCCTTGAGCAGTAGTTTGTAGTTCTCCTGGATAAGGTCCTTCACATCCCTTGTAAGTTGTACTCCTAGGTATTTTATTCTCTTTGTAGCAATTGTGAATGGGAGTTCACTCATGATTTGGCCTTCTGTTTATCTATTATTGGCGTATAGGAATGCTTGTGATTTTTTGCACATTGATTTTGTATCCTGAGACTTTGCTGAAGTTGCTTATCAGCTTAAGATTTTGGGCTGAGACAATGGGGTTTTCTAAATATACAGTCAGGTCATCTGCAAACAGAGACAATTTTACTTCATCTTTTCCAAATTGAATACCCTTTATTTCTTTATCTTGCCTCATTGCCCCAGCCAGAACTTCCAATACTATGTTGAATAGGAGTGGTGAGAGAGGGCATCCTTGTCTTGTGCCGGTTTTCAAAGGGAATGTTTCCAGTTTTTGCCCATTCAGTATGATATCGGCTGTGGGTTGGTCATAAATGTCTCTTATTATTTTGAGATATGTTCCATCAATACCTAGTTTATTGAGACTTTCTAGCATGAATTGGTGTTGAACTTTATCGAAGGCCTTTTCTGCATCTATTGAGATAATCATGTGGTTTTTGTAGTTGGTTCTGTTTATGTGATGGATTATCTTTATTGATTTGTGTATGTTGAACCAGACTTGCATCCCAGGGATGAAGCCGACTTGATCATGGTGGATAAGCTTTTTGATGGGCTGCTGCATTCAGTTTGCCAGTATTTTCTTGAGGATTTTCACATTGATGTTCATCACTGATATTGGCATACAATTTTCTTTTTTTGTTGTGTCTCTGCCAGGTTTTGTTATCAGATGATGCTGGCCTCATAAAATGAGTTAGGGAGGATTCCCTCTTTTTCTATTGTTTGGAATAGTTTCAGAAGGAATGGTGCCAGCTCCTCTTTGTACCTCCGGTAGAATTCAGCTATGAATCCATCTGGTCCTGGACTTTTTTTTTGGTTGGTAGGTAATTAATTGCTGCCCCAATTTTCAGAACTTGTTATTGGTTTATTCAGGGATTTGACTTCTTCCTGGTATATTCTTGGGAGGGTGTATGTGTCCAGGAATGTACCCATTTTTTCTACATTTTCTAGTTTATTTGTGTAGAGGTGTTTATGTATTCTCTGATGGTTACCTTGTATTTTTGTGGGATCAGTGGTGATATCCCCTTTATTATTTTTTATTGCATCTATTTGATTCTTCTCTCTTTTCTTCTTAGTCTGGCTAGTAGTCTATCTAATTTGTTGATCTTTTCAAAAAACCAGCTCCTGGTTCATTGATTTTTTTGAAGGGGTTTTTGTGTCTCTATCTCCTTCAGTTCTGCTCTGATCTTAGTTATTTCTTGTCTTCTGCTAGCTTTTGAATGTGTTTGCTCTTGCTTCTCTAGTTCTTTCAATTTTAATGCTAGGCTGTCAATTTTAGATCTTTGCTGCTTTCTCTTGTGGGCATTCAATGCCATAAATTTCCCTCTGCACACTGCTTTAGCTGTGTCCCAGAGATTCTCGTATGTTGTGTCTTTGTTCTCATTGGTTTTGAAAAACATCTTTATTTCTGCCTTAATTTTGTTATTTACCCAATAGTCATTCAGGAGCAGGTTGTTCGGTTTCCATGTAGTTGTGTGGTTTTGAGTGAGTTTCTTAATCCTGAGTTCTAATTTAATTGCACTGTGGTCTGAGAGACTGTTTGTTATGATTTCCATTCTTTTGCATATGCTGAGGAGTGTTTTACTTCCAATTATGTGGTCAATTTTAGAGTAAGTGCAGTGTGGTGCTGAGAAGAATGTATATTCTGTTGAGTTGGGGTGGAGAGTTCTGTAGATGTCTGTTAGGTCCACTTGGTCCAGAGCTAAATTCAAGTCCTGGATATCCTTATTAATTTTCTGTCTCATTGATCTGTCTAATATTGACAGTGGGATGTTAAAGTCTCCCACTATTCTTGTGTAGGAGTCTAAGTCTTTTTGTAGGTCTCTAAGAACTTGCTTTATGAATCTGGTTGCTCCTGTATTGGGTGCATATATATTTAGGACAGTTAGCTCTTCTTGTTGCATTGATCACTCTACCATTATGTAATGCCCTTCTTGGGCTTTTTTTTTTATCTCTGTTGGTTTAAAGTCTGTTTTATCAGGCTTTTTTTTGCTTTCCATTCACTTGGTAAATATTGCTCCATCCCTTTATCTTGAGCCTATGTGTGTCTTTGCATATGAGATGGGTCTCCTGAATACAGCACACAGAGGAATCTTGACTGTTTATCCAATTTGCCAGTCTTTGTCTTTTAATTGGGGCATTTAGCCCCTTTACATTTCAGATTAATACTGTTATGTATCAATTTGATCCTGTCATCATGATGCTAGCTGGTTATTTTGCCCATTAGTTGATGTAGTTTCTTCATGGTGTTGATGGTCTTTACAATTTCGTATGTTTTTGCAGTGGCTGGTACCAGTTGTTCCTTTCCATGTTTAGTTCATCCTTCAGGAGCTCTTGTAAGGCAGTCCTGGTGGTGACAAAATCTCTCAGCATTTGCTTGTCTGTTAAAGATTTTATTTCTTCTTTGCTTATGAAGATTAGTTTGGCTGGGTTGAAAATCTGGGTTGAAAATTCTTTTCTTTAAGAATGTTGAATATTGCCCCCACTCTCTTCTTGATTGTAGGGTTGCTGCCGAGAGATCCACTGTAAGTCTAATGGGCTTCCCTTTGTGGGTAACCTGACCTTTCTCTCTGGCTGCCTTTACCATTTTTTCTTTCATTTCAACCTTGGTGAATCTGACAATTATGTGTCTTGGGGTTGCTTTTCTCAAGGAGTATCTTTGTGGTGTTCTCTGTATTTCCTGAATTTGAATGTTGGCCTGCCTTACTAGGTTGGGGAAGTTCTCCTGGATAATATCCTGAAGTGTGTTTTCCAACTTGGTTCCATTCTCCCCATCACTTTCAGGAACACCAATCAAACGTAGATTTGGTCTTTTCACAAAGACCTTATTTCTTGGAGGCTCTGTTCATTTCTTTTCACTCTTTTTTTCTCTAATGCTGTCTTCTCACTTTGTTTCATTGAGTTGATCTTCACTCTCTGATATCCTTTCTTCCACTTGATCAATTCACCTATTGATACTTGTGTATGCTTCACGAAGTTCTCATGCTGTGTTTTTCAGCTCCATCAGGTCATTTATGTTCTTATCTAAACTGGTTATTCTAGTTAGCAATTCCTCTAACCTTTTTTTCAAGGTGCTTAGCTTCCTTGCTTTGGGTTAGAACATGCTCCTTTAGCTCAGAGGAGGTTGTTATTACCCACCTTCTGAAGCCTACTTCTGGCAATTTGTCAAACTCATTCTCCATCCAGTTTTGTTCCCTTGCTGGCAAGTTGTGATCCTTTGGAGGAGAAAAGGCATTCTGGTTTTTGGAATTTTCAGCTTTTTTGCACTGGTTTCTCCGCATCTTCATGGATTTACCTATCTTTGGTCTTTCCTATTGGTGACCTTTGGATGGGGTCTCTGAATGGACATCCTTTTTGTTGATGTTGATGTTACTATTCCCTTCTGTTAGTTTTCCTTCTAACAGTCAGGCCCCTCTGCTGCAGGTCTGCTGGAGTTTGCTGGGGGTCCATTTCAGACCCTGTTTGCCTACGTATCACCAGCAGAGCCTGAAGAACAACAAAGATTGCTGGCTGTTCCTTCCTCTGGAAGCTTCATCCCAGAGGGGCACCTGCTAGATGCCAGCCAGAAGTCTCCTGTATATGGGGTCTTTTGGTCCCTACTAGGAGGTGTCTCCCAGTCAGGATACACAGGGGTCAGGGACTCACTTGAGGACACAGTCTGTTCCTTATCAGAGCTTGAACACTGTGCTGGGAGATCCACTGCTCTCTTCAGAGCTGTCAGGCAGGGATGTTTAAGTCTGCTGAAGCTGTGCCCACAGCTGCTCCTTCCCCCATGTGCTCTGTCCTAGGGAGATGGGGGTTTTATCTATAAGTCCCTGACTGGGGCTGCTGCCTTTTTTTCAGAGATGCCCTGCCTAGAGAGGAGGAATCTAGAGAGGCAGTTGGTCTTGCTGAGCTGCGGTGGTCTCCACCCAGTTCAAACTTCCCAGCAGCTTTGTTTACATTGTGAGGGTAAAACAGCCTACTCAAGCTTCAGCATTGGCAGGTGCCCCTCCCCCCACCAAGCTTAAGCATCCCAGTTCCACCTCAGACTGCTGTGCTAGCAGCAAGAATTTCAAGCCAGTGGATCTTAGCTTGCTAGGCTCTGTGAGGGTGGTACCCACCAAGCCAGGCACCAGAGGGAATCTCCTGGTCTGCTGGTTGTGGAGACCAATGGAAAAGCACAGTATCTGGGCCAGATTGTACCATTCCTCCTGATACAGTCTCTCACAAGTTCCTTTGACTAGGGAAGGGAAATCCCCCAACCCCTTGAGCTTCCCGGATGAGGCCACACCCCACCCTGCTTCAGCTTGCCCTCCGTGGGCTGCACCCACTGTCCCACCAGTCCCAGTGAGATCAACTGTGTATCTCAGTTGGAAATGCAGAAATCACCCACCTTCTGCATCAATCTCGCTGGGAGCTACAGACCTGAACTGTTCCTATTTGACCATCTTGACAGCTCTCCTGATGTACCATATTTATTCACATTCATGTTCATCAGAGATATTGACCTGTAATTTTATTGTTTGTAGTATCCTTGTCTGGCCTTACTATCAGGGTAATGTTGGCCTTGTAAAAAGTTTGGAAATATTTCCTCTTCTTCAATATTTTGGAAGAGTTTGAGAAGGATTGGAATTAGGTTTTCTTCAAGTGATTGTCAGAATTCAGTTAGGAATCCATCAAGGTATGGGTTTTTCATTGAGGGAACACTTTATATTACTGATTCAGTCTTACTTGTTATTGATGTGTTCAGATTTTCTATTTCATAGTAGGTTGAATGTGTGTAAGAATTTATTCATTCGTTTCAGGCTATCTAATCTGTTGAGATATAATTATACAGAGTAGTCTTTTATAATTTTTTGTATTTCTGTGATATCAGTTGTGATCTCTCCCTCTTACTCATTTTGAGTCCTCAGGTTTTTTTTCTTAATCTAGCTAAAGATTTGTCAATTTTGCTTCTCTTTTTAACCCTTTGCTCAATTAGGAAAAAAAAGTACCACTTGCTACCAGCACTCATTTAATTTTACATAAGTACCCTCTTTGAGGCTGAAGTAAATGTGACTAATTTTCAATGTGAAAATGAAATACAAAAACTTTTCTTGGAGTTATTTCTAAACAGAACTAACATCAGAATCTTCTGAATCATCAGAATCATCTATTTTAGAAAAATCTGATTCATCAAATAAAAACTGAAAATGACACTAACATCATGTGTAGTAATGCTATCTTTTCTAGGATTAGGTATTTTCAGCAATTGAGAATTACCATATTTTGTAAATGGAAAATCACTGCTAAAATAGGATGATGTCTTTTGTTTCCAAAGTTGATATAGTAGAGTAATGCAAAAATAACAATAAAAGCAAGATATGTCATGGCAGTTATTTCTGGATAAACTCTGCAGCTGCAAGTGCCACTGGCAAATTTTCTTGAGGCAGATGGGGAAAGGATTAAAAAATTAGCTTTTATCTTCCTTGATCTTTTCTATTGTTTTTCTAGTCTCTATTTTATTTATTTCTGCTCTGATCATTATTTCCTTCCTTTGACTAATTTTGGGGCTTAGTTTTTTCTCCTTTTTCTAGTTCCTTGAGGGGTAGTGTAGTTTTTTGGAGATTTTTCTTCTTTTTTGAGGTAGGCATTCATTGCCATAGACTTCCCTTTCAGAACTGCTTTTGCTGTGTTTCAGAAGCTTTTATATATTGTTCATTTATTTTCACTTGTCTCAAGATGTTTTTTAATTTCCCTTTCAATTTCTTCTTTGACCCATTGGTTATTCAGGAGCATATTGATTAATTTTTGAATTTTCCAAAACTTCTGTTACTGATTTCTAATTTTATACCAGTGTGGTCAGAAAAGATGCCTGATACAATTTCAATCTTTAAATTTATTAAGACTTATTTTGTGGCCTACCATATGATCCATCTGATCTATCCTGGAGAATGTGCCATGCCAATTAAGAAGAATGTGTATTCTGCAGCTGTTGGATGCAGTGTTCTGTATATGTCTTTTAGGTCCATTTGGTCTATAGGGTCATTTACTTTCAATGTTTCTATATTAATGTCTTGTGGCTGGATAATCTATTCATTGCTGAAAGTGGGTTGTTGATGTCTGTTACTATTTTATAAAAATCTCTCTCTTCAGATCTATTAATATTTGCTTTATATATTTAGGTGTTCTGATGTTGGGTGTATATATATTTATAATTGTTATACCCTTTTCCTGAATTGACCCCTTTATCATTATATAATAACCTCCTTTGTTTCTTTTTACAGCTTTTAACTCTCTGTTTTATCTGATATGTGTATAACTACTCCTGCTCTCTTTTGGTTTATATTTGCATAGAATATCTTTTTCTATCCCTTTGCTTCAGTCTATGTGTGCACTTAAGTTTGAAGTGAGTCTCTTGTAAGTAGCATATAGTTGGGTCCTTTTTTTAATCTACTAAGTCACTCTGTGTCTTTTGATTGGATATGCCAGGTAATTATTGGCGGGTAAGGACTTACTATTCTCGTGTTCTTTAAACTGGAAGAAAGGGATGCTAATTAGTCACTTTAACCTTTCTTAAGACTGGTCTGGGGTGATGAACTCCCTCAGCTTTTGTCTGTCTGAGAAAGGCTTTTATCTTTCATTTCTGAAGGATAGCTTTGCCGGGTACAGTATTCTTGGTTGACAGGTTTTTTTTCTTTTTTTCTTAAGCACTCAGAATATATCATCCTCCTCTATCCTGGCTTGTAAGGCTTCTGTTGAGAAGTCTGTTGCTAGCTTTATTGGACCTCCTTTATATGTGACTTGCTTGTTTTCTCTTGCTGCTTTTGGGATCCTCTCTTTTGTCTTTGATATTTTACAATTCAATTTTAATATATCTTGGTGTGGTATTGGAATTGGATTAAATCCGATTGGACTTTTTTTTTTTTTTGAGATGGAGTCTCTCTCTGTCACCCAGGCTGGAGTGCAATGGTGCGATCTCGGCTCAACTGCAAGCTCCGCCTCCCAGGTTCATGCCATTATCCTGCCTCAGCCTCCTGAGTAGCTGGAACTACAGGTGCCCACCACCACACCTGGCTAATTTTTTGTATTTTTAGTAGAGACGGGGTTTCACCACGTTAACCAGGATGGTCTTGATCTCCTGACCTCGTGATCCACCCACCATGGCCTCCCAAACTGCTGGGATTACAGGCGTGAGCCACCGCGCCCAGCCTGATTGGACATTTTTGACTTTCCTCTTCCTAGATATTTATATCTCCAAGTTGGAAATGTGTTCTGCTATTATTTCTTTAAATAAGTTTTCTAACCCTTTGTTTCTCTCTTCTCCTTCTTTAATTCCTGTAGCTCAAATATTTGTTCCTTCGATGCTGGTTTATAAACCTTGTAAGCCTTTTTTTATTCCTTCTTTTTCTTTTAGGTTTAGGTTTTAAACACAATATATCTATGCACTAAAATCATATCCTTTTCAACTATTTAAACTTATGTTGAAACATTTTTAGATATTTGCATGAAAACTTGAAGAGGTATGTGTTTGTTCAAAATTTCTTTGATGCTTGGGCAACATGGTAAAACCTCATCTCTACAAAAAAAAAAAAAAAAAAAAAAAAAAAAAAAAGCCAGACATGGTGGTGCACACCTGTAATTGCAGCTACTCAAGAGGCTAAGGTGGGAGGGTCGCTGGAGCAGATGTGGAGGTTGCAGCAAGCCATAATTGCACCACTGCATACCAGCCTGGGTGACAGAGCAAGACCCTGTCTCAAAAAATAAAAATTTTTTTGCATTATCTTAGCAAAAATATTTGAAGACCACTATATTTATTTACTTTTGCTACTCTAACAAGTTGCCACGAACATAGTGACTTGAAACAATACATTTATTATTTACAGGTCTATAGGTGAGAAATTTATCATGGATCTCACTGGGTTTAAAGCAAGGTGTTGGCAAGTCTGAATCTCTTCATTGGGGATCTGAGACAGAATCTGTGTTCTTGCCTTTCCAATTTCAGAACTACTCACATTTCTTGACTCATGACCCCATTTCTCCATCTTCACAGCCAGTAACATGAGGCCAAGGCCTTCTCATATTGCCTTCTCTGTGGTTTTGTCTCATGGGTCTCCCTCTTCCACTTATAAGGATCAGTCTCACCTTTTCAAAGTCACGTGATTAGCAGCCTTAATTCTATCTACAACTTTAATTCCCTTTTGCTATAACATAACCTAACACATTCACATGATCAGGGATTATAATGTGGACCTTTTTAGGGGGCCGTTTTTTTTTTCCTACTACAACCACTGGAAGTTGGTAGAGGCATAGAGGATGTTGAAGGTTTGATATTGCCTGTCGAGAAATGAAAGGGGGGACAGATGGAAGACAAGCAAAAGAATTATCAAAAGAAATGTCAAATACACCCAGGTGCAGTGGCTCATGCCTGTAATCCCAGGTCTTTGGGAGGCCAAGGAGACAGATCACCTGAGTTCAGGAGTTCAAGACCAGCCTGGCCAACATGATGAAAACCCCATCTCTACTACAAATACAAAAATTAGCCAGGCATGGTGGCACATGCTATAATCCTAGCTACTCGGGAGGCTGAAGCACGAGAATCACTTGAACCCAGGAGGAGGAGGCTGCAGTGAGCTGAGATCACACCACTGCAATCTAGCCTGGGTGACAGAGCAAGACACCATCTAAAAAAAAAGAAAAAAAAGAAAGAAAAGAAAGAAATGTCAAATGTAAGTAGCAATACATTCATAGCTTTTCATCTGTACACTTGAGAGAGTTTTTCAGTCTTGCCTTTCCTCCTAAAACCCATTCACCTGATGCTCAAATCAAATAATCAGATTGTTGAACTCTTAGTGCCTTTTTTAATGTCTTTAGAACTGTTCTTAAGCTCTGTTTGCATTTTTGCCTATCTCTGAAATTTTAAGATATTTTTTAACCATTCTCATATATGTTCTCTTATAGGACCATAATTAAACTTTTAAAGAATATTTTAATATTCAAAGGACATTTCTAATTTCTATTAAGCATTTATCAATTGTGTAATCTTGTGTAAATTATGGGACTATTTTAGGTTCTTAAAGTTGGGTTTTTTCTGTTTTCCTTTTGAACCCTTTAAACACATCTTACCCAATTTGTCTGAAGATATTAGCTATACGTAATTATAATTAATTATTATAAATCCTATAACATTTGATCTTGTCACAAATGTAAACTTAGTTGTGACACTAATTTTGGACACTGGAAGGCACACTCTGGAAATGTGTTCAATTGCTTTTAATGCTGGACCCTGATGAGGACCAAGGAAGACAATCAAGGATCTCAGTGTGTATTAAGTGTTCCCTCTGTGTGGAGGAGTGCTGTGATGATCTCTCTATGTCAGAGACCAAAGGGCAAGCTTTCACTGGAGGTCCTTTATGTTATGCTAATAAATGAGTATAGGGAGTGTTTATAAGAGAGGAGAGGGAACATGTCGCTGCCATGAATAAAACTGATAAACACCCCAAGCTCATGTACCACCCCACTCCCACAAAAAAAGTGTTTGGCCTAGTTTTTATTTCCATTTTAACCAAAAGAAAAACCATCAAACTGCTCTAGTGAAAACTTTTAGGTTTTTTTCCTACTGGATTCCATCACTTAAAAGAATCACAAAAATTTTTCCTTAAAACATTGTTAGGTACCTTCTAGTTCAACATCTCCCTCCACTCCCAATCTTATTTCATACCTCATTTACCCATGTGTTGGCATAAATACCCCTATTCAAAATTTCTATACATATACAAATGCATACATGAATATCCGATGTGAAAGTTACACAGGATGTTTATTATAGATTATTGGATTTCCTTTGTACTTTGCCTCCTTAAACCTTTAATGTAATGACCTTTCCTGAATAAGCATTAAGAAATACACATATATACACACACGTGCACACACACACACATATTAAATCCTTGTTCCTGAGATACCCAAATGCTAAGGGAGCAAGGAGTAGTGAGATGGAGAAGAGGCAAAACCAAACTAGAGAAAGCATATGTAAGAACCCAGGGGAGGCAAAACCAAACTAGAGAGGAAGAGGTGTCAGCCTGCTGTGACAGAGCCACAGTTTAGAAAAAAATACCATGGTCAAGTTTCCATATCCACTTGTTCCCATTTGGAGTAAGAGAGTCTTAGCTTGGTGGCCTCTGCCTGCCCACCTGTGGTTGCTGAGTGGCTGAGAAAGTACCATAGCAGAGGCAGGGCTGGACATAAAGAGCAATGGCCTGCCACTGGAGTGTGGGGGCATTCAGGTGCAAATTTCAGTTATGATAATAGCTTGTTGTGTTTCCTTGAGCATCGCTCAATCTTTTTTAGCTTCAATCTCTTTTTCTAGTAAACTAAGGTGACACTGGTGACCTCTATGAGGCCCTTCCACCTCTAGCACACTGTGACGACATGGGTTGAGCATCTCCTGATCAGAGCCTTACCTTAACGTAGCCTGCCTTGCATGAGATTCAGTGAGACAAGACATGAGTCCACTGGGACCCTGTCTGTGTGTGGCAGGACTACACAAGAGCCCAGCATCTCCACTAATCTCATCACCTAAGAAAAAAAAATGCTCAAGCTCAGTTTTAGAAGCTACATCTCCCATAAGGCTTTAGAATGATGCTTTACAATATGCCTATAAAAGGAAAACCTGAGATATAGTCCACTCATTCAGAAATACAAATGCCAGTCTCTAGGATTAAAGAGGTGGGGGTAAGACATGAAAAGTGCTGGGCACAGTGGCTCACACCTAATAATCCCAGCACACTGGGAGGCCCAGGCAGGAGGATCACTTGAGCCCAGGAGTTTGAATCCAGCCTGGGCAATATGGAAAAAGCTCATCTCTATAAAAAATACAAAAATTGCCCAAGCGTGGTGGCATGTGCCTATAGTCCCAACTACTCAGGAGGTTGAGGTAGGAGGATTGCTTGAGACTGGGAGGTTGAGGCTACAGTAAGCTGTAATCATGCCACTGTACTACAGCCTGGGTGGCAAAGCGAGAATGTGTCTCAGAAAAAAAAAAAGTGAGAAGCATAGTTCTTACCCTCACAAAAGCAGAGGTAACTTTAACTCTGTGGTTGGTAGAGAGGGGATGTACTCAGGGCTGGGGAGACCAGAGAGAGAGAGGTTCCAAGGAAGGGTGCACAGCCTTTGAGCAGGATGCAGAAGGATGAGTGTCCACAAGGTGGCTTCGGGCAGACAGTGTTTTCAGGTGAAGGGAACAGTTTGGGTAAAGGCAGACCAAAGGGCCCTGCTGTTTAAAGAAGTGCTAAAAAATTTACTGAAGCTGGAATTTAAAGCATAGGATTACAGTGGCCAGGAATAAAAGGAATGAGTCAGCTTGAGGCCAAATTGTAACTGGCCTTATATTCCTGCCAGAGGAATTTGGAATGAGTCTTGTGGGCAACATCTGGGAATTGAGAGGTTTTCAAGCGAGAGAGAGAGAGAAATTCCGATTTTGTTCCCAGGAGAAAAGTGTTCTGGCAGTAGCACGGTGGATGGAAGAACCTGAGAAAGGCTGGCAGTAGGGATACCGGAGAAGAGGCTCCTGCAGAGCAGATAACTATTTGGAGGTAGAGGTGGGAGGCTGAATTATATTTATACATCCGTTGTACTACTTCCTTCTAATTTGATCAGCAGTAGATACAGAAGTACAGAAAGACTTTCCAGGAGTTCCAGTGAGAATAATCTGACTCTCCAGGCCAACAGTGACAATCTTCAAACAGCCTGATTTATGACTGACATTCATCATATGCCACTGTTCCTGTTACATCCCACACCCATAATGAAATCTCCCAGAATGGGGCTGGATGTCCATCTTGCCATCATCATCCTCTTCCCTCTCCTGCTGGCCTTGTCTGCATTCTGGACATCTGGGTGCTGATATCCTGTTTTGTTAGAGATGCAGCAGAAATCATTTCCAGTCTGTTTTTGTTTTTATGTGGAACAACTAAGCTAATTAATCTTAGAGAATCACATATGTATACAAAAAGCTCAGGTCTGGGGCAACAATAAAAACTTAAGATTTCCAGTTTCTTCTGACTAGATTCCAGTTCTTATTCATAACAATAATTCAATACCACTGGTGAGAGACTGCTATAACCCTGAGAGAACAGCTTTGAAATACCAAGAATAATGGCATTTAGATTTCTATAGCATCCAGGCCCTCCCAGCACCCCTTGTGGCAGGATCTCACAATGTTCTACAGAAGTACAATGCATTAAGGCTCTCCTCATAAAGTAGGCAGCATTATTATTCTCATTCCTCACGCTGCCAAAACAAAGTGGAGAGATGTGCTTCTGTTGCCTGCCCAAGGTTAATTCCAGGGGCAAAACTACAAATTCAACTCAGTTATTTGCCCTCAACTATGATCAAGCAGCTTTGTATTTTCAAGAAAAGCTGATGTAACTTACCCAAAACCAGAGTAAATTACATTTCAGAAGGAGAATGAGCATGTGGGCCGCTGCCACCTCTCACACATTCCCACATCTTCTCCACTGAGCCCCAGTTGACTTTCCCAGGAAGGACGTGACACAATTGCTACCTAAGTAGATTAACATAACACATTACACATCAGCACTACAAATGCTAACCAAAAGTCAAACTCATAAATAAAGCATACCTACCCCTGAGAAAAACTCGTAAATAAAGCATACCTACAAGATAAGGAAGGAGAGGACTTCTGAAGAATGAACATCAGAGAGATAAAAAGAAACAATTGAAAATGAAGTTAAAAACATTGCGTGTCTGTAGTGTATGTGTGTATAAAAATATTTACACATAGTGTATATGTAAAACAATGAGATTCAAGATATAAACTACAATAGCTTAGGTATCAGTCAGCCCAGTGAAAATCTAACATGAGATTCAATAGTTCACCTCATGATACTAAATATAAAAAAGTTAATACCATAGAAGTGGACTTTCTATGAGGAGAAAAAAAGCGTGTCTATATATTTAAAGGTTATTTTAATTCTGTAATTATGATGAAATCTGTGCTTTAAATGTATGTCTAAAATAAAAGATGTTATGTTGAAAAATTATAGGGAGCTCAGATAATAAATTTTGGAGAGAAAAGCTAATTTCTTCAAATTAGGCAAACACACTTACACGTGGAAACTTAAGAAATGGTAAAATATATTTTAGAAACAACAGTCTGTACATAAAGTTTACCTACTAAGAGAGGTACAATATGATTTTACTGAACCATATATGCTATAGTTAAAAAAGTAAGATGGTTTATAATTTAAAGAGCTAAGCTGAAAAGTTTGGTTTGTTTGTTTTTTTATCCAGAGGATAAAATATTAAGATGAAAAAAGATATGTGACTTATACAGACGAATAGGAATTTGATGAAGTGTAACTAAAATTGTGATATATATTTTTGGTCCTTACAAAATGGTTTTACAGACTAATAGAATTTTAGTAAAGAGAAAATTTAACTTCTTAAGCATGTATATTTATAACATCTATAACAATAAAATTTTCATTTACAATGTATAGAATGGCCTTAGCAGTCAAAAGTTTGTCTAAATAATGTCTTGTAGAAAACATCCTAGAAAATAAATGGTTAAATTTGATTATTTTCTAGTCTATTGTATTTGAACTTAATTATTCTCATGATTTTATTTTCTAAGGTGGTGTTAGTGAATGTAACTTGCATAATAATTAGCATCTTACGTGGCATTTTGTCATGTTTACTCCATATTCATTGAATGGATGAATGAATGAATTGCACCCAAACAAAGTTGGAGCTCTTCATTTCTCATGTCTTAGCCTCACTCAGTTGACTAAGAACACAGACAGCCTGGGAGAACGCTGTTCAGTCACTCCTCCCAGACAACAGGCAAGACCATCTGCAAGTTGCCCAGCCTGACAATGTATTTGGTAAACCAGGGATTAATAACCATTTCTTCCCCTCCTTTCTCTGCCTCCCAATATCACTCAAAGAATCCAAGGACATAAAGCCTATGGCTTCCGTTGCTTTTTGCAGATCAATAGGAAAATTTGCCCTGTAGCCTCCAAAATTATACCAGTGGCCTAACTTGAAAATCTGTTTGAATGTTTACTATTCCTAAACTCCAGTTTGTCATAGGTTTTTGTCAAGGTCTCTGTTAGGTTGAGTTCCCCAAAAGTGGATCCTAAGACTAAGGTTGTTTATTTTGGTTTTTTGCTGTTGTTGTTTTTTTTGAGACAGTCTCACTCTGTCTCCTAGGCTGGAGTGCAGTGGCGTGATCTCGGCTCACTGCAACCTCCGCCTCCCAGGTTCAAGGGATTCTCCTGCCTCAGCCTCCCAAGTAGCTGGGATTACAGGTGCATGCCACCACACCCGGCTAATTTGTGTACTTTTAGTAGAGATGGGGTTTCACTATGTTGGCCAGGCTGGTCTCAAACTCCTGACCTCAAGTGATCTGCCCACTTCAGCCTCCCAAAGTGCTGGGATTACAAGCATGGGCCATGCACCTTGCCCTAAGACTAAGATTTGAGAGCCATTTGTTTGGGGGTGATCCCAAGAAACACCTAGTGAGAGAGGGATGGAGTGAAACAGGAAAGGGAAAGAAGCCATGTTGTTTGTTGGTAAGCAAATTACTGCTGGAGGCAACTGGAATTCAATCCTGCCAGGAGGCTCTGGGAGATGGTCAAGAACCAGCTACAGTGTGGTCCTACTCAAAAAGAGAGGAAGTTTGGATAACTGTCTACCAACTTATGTTTGTCATTTGTGAGGATGCCTCCTGGTGTGTTCATTCACGTGGCACTTTCAACCTGCTGTGCAAATGCCCAGGCTTCCTCCTGAGGCCAGAAAAACCCCTTAGGAGAGTCCCAAGTACTTGCAGCAAGAGTGTCCACCACAAGGTCTTATGTGGCATGGCAAATTGAATCTGTCTGGATACTTGGGAAACCCAAGGTCCCTCCTTCCTTTGTTCTGCTGGATACCTTGCCCTCACCTGTCCAGCTCCATTCTCCACCCCGGTGACTCTTCCAGTCCTAGGAGCACTCAGCTGATATGAGTTCCAGGGTACAGAAGCATGCTTTGTAGTTTCCCTCCACTCTTCCTACAGTTTTGTAAACACTCCTTTTATTAAACTCTCACATTAACCTTGAGGGAAATTTTCTTTATCCCTACTAAGGCAGGCACCAAATCTCTCTAAAGAAACCCCTCCTTTAAGCTTCAACCCCTTGGCCAATTTAGGCACCTCCCTTTTCCTCCCTCACTGTGAAAGAACAGCTAAAGGTCAGGAAACTTATTTCTGCCCCTCTAACATTAGTCATCTTTTTGTAAGTTCCTTATAAGCTTCTCATAAGAAGTAGGAGAGATGGTGATAAAGCTTAGTGATTCAGAGCCAGCATATCTTGAGGTACTTCCAGTCTGTGTGACTTGGAGAGAGTTACTCCTCAGCATTAAAAGTATGTAACAACACAGGCCAATTTTTTTGTTCTGAGGGTTCAATGAGAAAATGTATGTAAGGAATTTAACACAGAGCCTGGAACATAGTTAAGTGCCCATTCATTCATTCAGGAAATATGTATTAAGAATCTCCTAGGTACTGGCTGGGCATTCACACCTGTAATCCCAGCACTTTGGGAGGCCAAGGTGGGTGGATCACAAGGGTCAAGAGTTCAAGACCAGCCTGGCCAAGATGGTGAAACCCTGTCTCTACTAAAAATACAAAAATTAGCCATGCCTGGTGGCAGGTGCCTGTAATCTCAGCTACTTGGGAGGCTGAGGCAGAGAATTGCTTGGACCCAGGAGGCAGAGTTTGCAGTGAGCTGAGATCACACCACTGCACTCCAGCCTGGGCGACAGGGCAAGACTTCATCTCAAAAAAAAAAAAAAAAGTATCTCCTAGATTAAGCACTATAATAGGTACTGTGCTTACAGTAGTGAACAAAGGAAAGTCTCTGTTCTGGGACCCTAAAAATGAAATGATGGTGATAGCTGCTAGAATAAAGTATAAGGATATTCAAGGCAGGGATGCTGACTTACAGGGTATTCAACAAATGACGGAGTGAATTTGAGCAAAGACTTTAAGTAAATGAGGGAGGAAGCTGTCTGGATTACCTGGGAGAAAGCCACTTCCAGACAAAGGGAAGAGCAAGTGCAAAGGACGGGTTTGCCTATCAAGTTCCAAGAATAATAAAGAGGCCTATGTAACTACATCAGAATAAGCAAGGGAGATAATAAGGAGATGAAGCCAGAGAGGTCATAGGTACCTAGACCCTGTAGATCACTGTAGAAACTTCCAATTTTATCCTGAGCAAGTCAGGATGCCATCAGAGGGTTTTGAGCAGAGGAGTGGACATGACCAGACTCAAGTTTTGACAGGATCACTCTGGCTGCTCTGTTCAGAACAGATTGTAAGGGACAGGAGCAGGGAAACCAGCAGGGAGGCTTCTGCAATCATCCAGGTGGAGACAATAGTGGCCTGAGCTAGGGGCGTGGCTGTGGAGACAGTTTGAAGTAAGAAGGTTCTGAATCTATTTAGAAGGCGATAAGACTGTGTATTAGGGTTCCCTAGAGGGACAGAACTAATAGGAGATTATATATATATATATATATATATATATATAAAATAGGATATATATATAATAGTATATATATATATATATCTTGGATCAATACTTTGCTTCGATACTTTGCATCCTTCAATCCAATCAAGTTGACACTCAGTATTAACCATCACAAGTCCACCCCTTGTCAACTTGAACCCATAGACATCTCTTGAGATCCTACATATATTTATATATATAAATAAATAAATATATATATTATATATTATATATGTAATTATATATAAATATAAATTATATATAAATACATATATAAATATATATGATATATAAATATATTTTATAAATATATATATTTTTTTATATATTTATATAATATATATTATATATAAATAAATATATTTATATATGTATATATATATATATTAGTTTATTAAGTCTTAATAAATCACAAGGTCCCACAATAGGCCATCTGCAGGCTTGAGGAGCAAGGAGAGCCAGTCCTAGTCCCAAAACTGAAGAACTTGGAGTCCAATGTTTGAGGACAGGAAGCATCCAGCACGGGAGAAAGACGTAGGCTGGGGGTGCTAGGCCAGTCTCACCTTTTCACTTTTTCTGCTTGCTTTACATTCATTGGCAGCTGATTGGATTGTGCCCACTAGATTAAGGGTGGATCTGCCTTCTCCAGCCCACTGACTCAAATGTTAATCTCCTTTTGCAACATCCTCACAGACACACCTAGGATCAATACTTTGCATCCTTCAATCCAATCAAGTTGACACTAAGTATTAACCATCACAAGTCTACCCCTTGTCAACTTGAACCCATACACATCTCCTGAGATCATACACAATCTCAAAGAAAGACAATAATGAGGTCATAACTGCACTAACATAATACAACCATCCTTCATACAACTGGAAATGCACCAACACCCAACCCAAATACTATTACATAAAGTTAACAATACTTAAATGCTGATAGGAAGTCAATAAATCTTATGTCACATGATAAAGGAAAAGGAAATGAAGATATTTTATTAGTACAAGTGTATAATGCACAAATATGTTATTAACTAAAGAAGAAAATACTCATGACAGTTACCATCCTTGTTTCTGCAGCTGGTCATGTGGTCGCAGCTGGTATTGATGACTACCTTCTTCTACTACCCATTCTGTATTCCCTTTGCCTTTAGAAAGCACCTCAGCAGGTAGCAGATTTTTTCCTGGTGGAGTGAACCAAATCTTCATTTCTGAGGAGTCTGGACCATTTGTAGTCCTGCCTGGCTTGGGCTGTTGTAGTTTCCCATTGACCTTAATCACAGGGCATGGTAATACTATGAGACAGCCTAATGCATCTTCTGTATTCCATACATACTTCTCCTTACCTTCATTATGAAGTAGTAGACTGATTTCATCTTGATAGTCTGGGTCAGTCACCTCAGCAAACACTGTAACTCTCCTCTTAGCCTGTTGACTTAAAGGTAGGAGGAGCCCAAGGTGGCTATCTTAACTTCCGGTTTAATTGAATTGTTGTTGTGCCTCCTGGTGGCAGTGTTCCTTCCTCTGGAACTAAGACCTCTAGGCCAGCAGAACGTAATGTCGTGGAACAGGAAGCAAAAATTTTGCTAGTGGATCACTAGGGGTGATGGTAAGTGGTGCCACTTCCACTTTCACCCCGTGATTCCCAGACCCATAAATCCTGGCTATGGGAGAAACAGTATCATATATTGGACTCTGATTCAGAGCATACACAGCCTTTGGGAGAACTTTGTCCCAGCCCTGCAAAGTATTGTCACCTAGTTGGCATTGTAATTGTGACTTCAAAAGGCCATTCCACCATTCTATTAATCCAGCTGCTTCAGAGTGATAGGGAACATGGAAGGACCAGTGAATTCCATGAGCATGAGCTCACTGCTTCACTTATTTAGCCATAAAGTGAGTGCCTTGGTCAGAGGCAATGCTGTGTGGAATACCATGATGGTAGATAAGGCACTCTGTGAGTCCATGGATGGTAGTCTTGCCAGAAGCACTGCAGGCAGGATAGGCAAACCCATATCCAGAGTAAGTGTCTATTCCAATAAGGACAAACCTCTGCCCTTTCCATGATAGAAGAGTTCCAATATAATCAACCTGCCACCAGGACACTGGCTGATCACCCTGAGGAATGGTGTCATATCGAGGGCTCAGTGTTGCTCTCTGCTGCTGGCAAATTGGGCACTCAGCAGTGGCCATAGCCAGGTCATCCTTGGTGAGTGGAAGTCCATGTTGCTGAGCCCATGCACAACCTCCATCCCTGCCACCATTGCCACTTTGTTCATGGGCCTGTTCGACAATGACAGGGGTGGCTGGGGAAAGAGGCTGAGTGGTGTCCATAGGACAGGTCATCCTATCCACTTGATTATTAAAATCCTTCTCTGCCAAGGTCACCTGTTGGTGAGCACTCACATGCAATACAAATATCTTCACAGTTTTTGACTACTCAGAGAGGTCCATCAACATACCTCTTCCCCAAATTTCTTTGTCACCAATTTTCCAATCATGCTTCTTCCAAGTTCATGACCATCCAGCCAAACCATTGGCTACAGCCCACGAATCAATATATAATTGCACATCTGGCCATTTCTCCTTCCATGCAAAGTGTACAACCAGATGCACTGCTTGAAGTTCTGCCCACTGGGAAGATTTCTCTTCACTGCTGTCCTTCAGGGATGTCCTAGAAAGGGGCTGTCATGCTGCAGCTGTACACTTTTGGGTGGTGCCTGCATATTGTGCAGAACCCTCAGTGAACCAGGCCCTAGTCTTCTCTTCCTCTGTCAACTGATCATAGGGAATTCCCCATATATGTATGTATACGTGTGTGTGTGTATATATATATATATATATACACACACGTATAGAGTATATATGTATGTATAATACACATGTATGCATGCATATATGCGTGTATATATACACATGTATGCATGCATATATGCATGTATATATACACATGTGTACATGCATATATGTATGTATATACACACATACACGTATATATACGCATGTATTCATGTATATGTGTATATGCAAACATGTACACATATATATACGCATACATGTATACGTGTATGCATGCATGTATAGATGTGTACATGCATACATGTATACACGTGTGTACACGCATGTATGCATGTATATACACTTACATGTATGCATATGTATATTTGTACACATACATGTACACACATGCAGGCATGTATATGCACATGCATGTATACATGTGTGCACGCATGTGTGCATGCATATGTGCATGCATGTATACATATATACATGTATATATGTACGTGTTCATATGTATACATGTATATGTACATATGTATACATGTATACATGTGTGTATGCATGTGTACATACACATATGTATACGTGTAGATATGTATGTATATGCATGTATGTGTGCATGTATATATGTATGTGTGTATGTATGTGTGTATATACATGTATGCGTGTATATATGTATGTTTATATACATGTATGTGTGTATATGTGTGTATATACATGTATGTGTGTATATGTGTACGTGTTTACACATATGTGTGTGTGTACACGTATACACACATGTATATTTGCGTATACGTGTATACACACACGTGTATGTATGTATATATAAATGTGTATATATACATGTGTATACATATATAAATATATGTGTATATATACATATATGTGTATACGTATATACATATGTATATATGTGTATATATACATATATGTGTATATATGTGTGTATATATGTCTGTGTGTGTATATATATGTATATATGAGTTCATAAATCTCTAGGTCCCACAATAGGCTGTCTGCAAGCTTGAGGGGCAAGGAGAGCTAGTCCAAGTCTCAAAACTGAAGAACTTGGAGTCTGATGTTTCAGGGCAGGAAGCATCCAGCACATGAGAAAGATGTAGGCTGGGAGGCTAGGCCAGTCTCGCCTTTTCACGTTTTTCTGCCTGCTTTATTTTTGCTGGCAGCTGATTAGACTGTGCCTACCACATTAAGGGTGGGTCTGCCTTCCCCAGCCCACTGACTCAGATGTTAATCTCCTTTGGCAACACCCTCACAGACACACCTATACATTCTCCAATCCGGTCAAGTTGACACTCAGTTTTAACCATCACAGACTGTCTGTTAGACTCCTCTCCCACACATTGTATATCCAAACTAAGGATGAACTCAAGTGGTTTAGCCTAGGTGATGAGAAGGGTGGAGCTGCTGTAACTAGATGGAGATGGCTGAAGTAAGCAGGTCTGGGCAGGGGAAGGGGTTAGATTGAGAGTTTAGTTTTAGACAGATAGAAGATGCAGGGAAATGTCAAGTGAGCAGAAGGAATGCTTTAAGTTCAAATCTATAAGAATATATACTTGACATATGGTATTCAAAGCCTTGAGAATATAGGTAGTGCATTAATTCAAGCACCTCATGCCATGTAATAAACGCATGCCTTACAGGAAGTTTTCAGAATGGAATAATATTCTTCCAAAAATTGGTCCATTTCAGTGAAATAAAGAATCAAATCTGACAAGGAAACACAACAGAAAATGGAGTCACATAGAGCATTTGTGGCGGTTTGGCCAGAGCACTAATTTTAAATGGTGGTGGACTGAAGACTTTAATTACTTTGATGGACAGAACATTAGTTTTCAGATGACTGGAACTGAGCTATATACTTCTTGGAAACACCAAGGTTGTGTTAGGAAGGCAGCTTTGTTTAGGTTTGACTTTTGACAAAATTTCTTTACGGAAATATTCTGGAAGTTTAAGAATAATGTGTATAGATACTTCCTAACTACACTTAAGGAAAATAAACATAGTATGATTTATTCTAATGGTTCTACAAGAACATGAGCTATATCCTAAGTTCAGGAACTGACAAGTTTTTTTCTTTAAAGGTCAAATAGTAAATATAATAAGCTTTGATGGTCATACATCTCTGTTTGGACTACTCAACCCTGCCATTGTAGTACAAACAGCCATAGGCAACACATAAATAAATAGGTATGGTTGTACTCCAATACAATTTTATTTACAAAGATAGGAAACAGATGAGATTTGGCCCACTGGCTATAGTTTTCCTCTGTCCCACCTCCACACCCAATAGCTTTCCCCCTTCTTTGCAAAGGCTTAGAAAAACAGCTGTTTCAGTTTGGTGTACCTTACTATTCATGAATACCTTTTAAAATGTTAGTTTTTGCTGAGCCATCATTAGGTGTTCAAGCAATTTAGAAACGGATTAAATCAGCTAAAAGTTACTACAATAATTTGGGCAAGAAGTGATAACATTTTTGAACAGGATACAACAATGAGGTAGTGGGATATGGTCATGTTGTGAATATGTTTGATTTTAGAAGCAACAAGGTTTGCAGGAAAGGAAGAATGGTGTTGAAGATGGTGCCAAGGATGCTGGTTCTCCCAACAAATTGTAGCTATGAGTATGATGTTTAATTATATTTATACATCTTACTTTCTTAACCTGGCTTCTGTAAGCATGCAATAAAAATGTTTTGCCCATCATCAGATCCTCATATCACTGCTTCATGTATAAAATACTCTTCATCTTACTGAGTAATGTATACCAAGAAAATTGTATTTTAGGCATTTTGTCATTTATTTTTGAGGGTGTACTTCATAAGCAATATCACAATAGCAGCATAATTATTTTCCCAATGTCAGCCCCAGTTCTGGTTTTCTTTATTTTTCCTTTTGAGCCTTATTGGCTGATAAGAGGTCTTAGAGTAATAACACTAATGAGAATCTTTGTCACAGTGTGAGTTCCCTAGTGCATGACCTCTTCCTTTGAGCTCATCAATAGTCCACAGCACTAGTACACCCACTTGACAAAGTGACTCATCATCATTTGCATTTTGCTTTGACAGATTGGTCATTAATATAAAGCCACCCCTGCATGACTTTCTGAAGGACATATGAAGATGTTCATGGGCTGTTAAGCTGTGAATTTCTCAGAGAATTTAAATTATTCTAAGTTAAACTTCTAGGTCTTGCAGTGTGATCTTTGGTTGTCTTAGCACATTTTCTCTCTATAACAGAGTACCACAGACTGGGTAACTTATACAGAAAAGGTCTGGAGGCTGGGAAGTCCAAGGCTGAGGGGCTGCATCTGGTGAGGGTCTTCTTTCTGCATCATAACATGGCAGAAGGCATCACATAATGAGAAGCACTTGCACAAGAGAGAAACTGGGCAGAATTCCTTTTTATCAGGAACTTACTTCCTATGGTAACTAATCCATGCCTGTAATAATAGCATTAATCACAGGGGTGATAATGGATTACCTTTAATCCCCTCTTAAAGGTTTTACCTTTTATACTATCATATGGCAATGAAATGTCAACATGAGTTTTGGAAGGGACATTCAACCATAGCATTGGTTAACTGCAAAAACAATTGGGAAAACGACCCCTATAAAACAACTCAATTTCAATCTACTTGAGAAAGGACTCAAATAGGTAAGGAATTATTAACTGTGGTGCAACTTGCATTTAGGCAGCCTTAAGGTTTTGAGAAATTTTGGAAAATACAAATCAGCAGAAGACATTTATTTATTTATTCAGTAAGTATTTATTGAGCCCTATTAAGTTCTAGGACTGTTCTAGATGCTGTGTATATGGAAATAAACTAGATAAACAAGGTACTTGTTCTTATGGAGTTTATTTCCCAGAATATATACTTAGATGAGGATAAGACAGGTAATAAAAATGTAATCTAACAAGTGAGTAATTTGAGATAGTGATGAGTTATGAAGAACATATAATGGAGCATTGGGATAGAAAGTACACTGAGAATGAGGCTGCTTTACATAAGTTGTTCTTAAGAGATGATGCTTGAGCTGAGCCATGAATAATGACAGTTGCAAGAAAATTTAGTAGAAGACCATGTCAGACAAAGGAAAGGCAAGTTTAAAGGCCGAACAATGGAAATGAGCTTGGGTTTATATGGGGACATGGCATCCTTTCAACCCGTTAGATATTTGCTGATTCACAATGACCAGTCAAAAAACTGAAAAGCTAATTGGAGTTTTTAGCCTTCTGAAATAAATATTGAGATTTAAAAAATTGGAGTTCAAAACTAGGATGACTGTCCAGTTTTCATGGGACTGAGGGGTTTCTCAGGATTTGGGGCTTTTAGTACTACAATTGGGAAAGTCTTAGATAAACTGGAAGAATTTTGTCAATCTTTCAAGGCCTAGCAAGATGAGTCCTCCTTAATACCCTGAGCTTTCATTTTGGACCCCTCAAAAGCTATATATGGTCTTTGTTGTCACGAAGGCTGAAACCTAGTCTTAAATAACATCCATCCCTATTCGGATTGCGGTAGTCTGCTTCTAGCTTAAACTGCAGCACACCTTACAGCAGATTCATGGAGTTGGGGAACATAAAAATTGGAGTCCTGGGATTTCCAAGGAATACTAGCCTTGATAAAAACCCAAGGCTTCTGGCTGGGACTTGTAGAGATAAGCCCATCAAAAAAAATCAAACAACATAAATAAATTCACAGGCAATCCAGACACTGGAGTTAACAAACTGGGGCTTAAAAATACCTGTGAAAGTTACGTTTTTTAAAAAATCGAGAATTAGATTCAGAATCCTAACAGAGAACTAGAAGCTACACGAAAGAATCAAATGGATATTCTAGAACTAAAAAAATACAGTAAGAGAAATTAAAATCCCAATATATTTAACAGTGGATTAGTCACAACAATCAAGAGAGCATTAGTGAACTAAAATATAGCTCAGTAGAAAATTGTCATGAACTCTGAGTGTTCTGAGATTTTAGCCTACTTGCAAGCTAAGTTAGGCTGTCGCAATTTCACAGATGCTGAAAGAAAGCATCAGACTGCTCTGTCAGAGACAAAGATACTACTCAAGGCTTTAGTTCCCCTGTAACCCACTCCCCATCCCCAGTCCCATGGGAGTGATACAGAGGTGAGTCTAAGTAGAGTCTGTTGACATAATAGATCTGTGTCACTGCTGAGGAGTCTCAGGCTTAGGAAATCCCTAATCTTATGCGGGACTTCTAGCAAACCTGACCAATCTTTGTCTCAGAGGAGGACATTATCTTTATGATGCTGATGAAACAAAGTTACCCTCCACCCTAGAATGAAACACTACTTCTATCTTGGTTTGCTATACAAACATCCTTGAAAAGATCTACAAAATATATAGAAATGTCATGGAGAATTGTCCCTCAATAAAAATATATAAACTAAAAAACAGAAAGTAAAAAGACAGTCTCTAGAAATGAAAGAGAAGAAGCAATATTTGAAGAGACAATGGCAGGAAATCTTCTAAAACTGAAGACATCAAATTTCAGATTTCAGAAGTATCACACATCTCCTACAGAACTAGAAAAAATACCCTATGTATATAATAAACTATTGAAAACTAAAGACAAAGAGAACAACATAAAAGCAGTGTGAAACAAAAGATGTATTACCTACAAAGGAGCAATTTTAGGACTGACAGCTAACTTCTCAACAGAAACAATGGAAACCAAAAGACAAAAAAAATAACATTTAAAGTGGTACAGAAAACAACTGCAAACCTAGACTTTAAAAAAAAGTTGTGAGAAGATACACATAACATAAAATTTACCATTTTAACCATTTTAAGAGTAAAGTTAGGCAGTATTAAATATATGTACATTATTGTGCAACCAATCTCTACAACTTGTTTGTGTTGTAAAACAGAAACTCTACCCCTATTTGTTTTAATTCAGGCTACAATAGCAAGATATCATAGACTGAGTGGCTTAAACCACAAACATGTATTTCTCAGAGTTCTGGAGGTTAAGAAGACCAAGATTAGAGTGCCAGCAGATTTGGTGTCTGGTGTGAGTCCTCTTGGTTTGCAAATAGCTGCCTTCTTGCTGTATCCTCACATGGTGGTGAGAGAGAGATCATCTTTCTTATGTCTCCTCTTATAAAGGGCACACTGGCACTACTCATGAGAGCTCTACCTTTGTGACCTAACTACCTCCCAAAGTTGGTCCCACTTCCAACTACCAGCACAATGGGAATTAGGGTGTTAACATGGATTTGGGGTGAACATAACATTCAGTACATATAATTAAACAACCCCTTTTCTTCTTTCTCCTCCCCCCAGTGACCTGGCAATCACCATTCTACTTTCTGTTTCTATGTATTTGACTGCCTTAGATATCTCATATAAGTGTAATTATGTACTATTTGTCTTTTTGTGACTGGTATATTTCATTTAGCACAATGTCCTCAAAATTCATCTATGTTGCAACATGTGTCCATTTTCTTCTGTTTAAAGGTTGAACGATATTCTATTGTATACACATAAATAAAAATTTTAAACTATCTATTAATGTATACTTGAATTCAAACCTAGAATTTTATACATTGTAAAAATATCCTTCAAAAGGGAATGTTAAATAAAGAAATTACCAAACAAGAACTAAGAGAATTTGTCATCAGCTTACCCATACTAAAGAAAATACTAAAAGGAGTTATTCAGTTAGAAGGAAAATAATTCCAAATGAAAATTCAGGAAAGAATAAAGAGTAATGAAACGGGTAAATAAATATGTAGATAGAGCTAAATAAACAATAACTGCATAAAACAATAATAATGTATTGCTTAAAATACAGAGAGAATTAAGGGTTTAAAATATATAATTAAATGTTAACATATAACGCAGGAGAAAGATAAATGGAAATAAAGGTGCTTGCATTATCTTGAAATAGTAAACATAAGTACTAATTTATATTAGATTTTAATAAGTTAAGGATTCCTGTTATATATTCTAGGTTAAACAGTAAAAGAATAGTAAAATACTATATAATTAACAAGCAAATGTAAGAGCGAAACAAAATTTTTTAAAGAAATCCAGAAAGGAGAGAAAAGGAACACCATAGAACAGATGAAACAAATAGAAAACAAAACATAAGTGGTAGATTTAAAACCAAATATATCAGTGATTACATTAGATGTAAATGGAACCAATGTGCAAATAAAGACAAAGATTACCAGATTGTATACAAAAGCAAAGCCTAAGCTATATGCTGCTTAGAGGAGATGACTTTAAGTATAATGATATAGAAAGTTTAAAAATAAAATTGCAGAAAAATATATCCCACAGAAACAACCAAAATTGTATAAAAGCTAATTATACATATTAAAATACATATAATAAAATAATTAAAATACATATTAATATAATAGTTAAAATACAATACAAAACAAACATGTAGCTGTATAAATATCTGACAAAGTAGACTTTAAGAAGACAAGAAAGGGCTAAGAGCCAAGATGGCTGACTAGACACAGCCAAGAAAAGCTTCTCCCACCAAGAGAGCCTATTTTGGTCTCCCAACAAGACCATCAAGTAAACTGGCACCCTCTTTAGAAAGAGGGCATTGAGAGTGAACAGAAAGAGGACACAGACCGCAGAGTAAAAGGGGAGGGAGGATTAGCGGGGCATGCCTGTAATCCATCTATTCAGGAGGCTGAGGCAGGAGAATCGCTTGAACCCAGGAGATAGAGGTTGCAATGAGCCAAGATCATACCATTGCACTCCAGCCTGGGCAAAAAGAGTGAAACTCCATCTCAGAAAAAAAATAAAACAAAACAAAACAAAAAAATTTTAAAAAGAAAGGAAGGAAGTTGGGAACCCTGCATGGGGTTGCTGAGCCTCAGGACTTGTTCTTGGCCCTGAGCAGTCCCTAGGGAAGGAGCGAGTGAAGTAGATATGGAGTGGCCCACTCTCACCATCAACCTCCAGAATCCTAAGCTGCAGGAGACCCCACACCCCCATGGACATCTGAGCTGGCAGAGAGAACTACCCAGAGAGTTGAAACAGACAGCACTCCAGCCTGTGCAGAGCCCAGATTTGGCATGGGAACAGCTGCAATGGAGCACAGCCATAGGTGTCAATCCACCAAGGATGGCCATACTCCTGAAGGTGACTTTAGCCTTTGTTAACTCTCAGACCTGGACAGAGCAGGGCACCTGTGGTGCTAAAAGTTAGAATAGGTGATTACCTTTGAAGAGAAAGGGGCTAGTGACTAGAAGCTGGTATGAGGGGGGCCTTCGGGAGTGCTGTTGAGATTCAGTTTCTTAATCTGCGTTGTTATACGGTGAGTTCAATTTGTAAAAGTTTGTGCAATAATGTTTCCTGCACTTTTCTGTATATATTTTATCTTCAATTAAAAAGTATATGAAAAAAGGAAGCACATCAAAGCATGACACTTACATAGTAGGACAGATGTAAATTGGGGTAAAATTATCAGAAAAACAATTTAAATGGTATAAAAGCTATAACAGTTAAAATACAATACATTATTAGTAAAACAAACAAAGGAATCAACAAAAAGACCACTAGGAGGTAGAGATGTTCTTAACAGAGTTCTGAGAGTTAGAAGTGCCACCTCAGTGTTGACCCCCTGTAATATAATTGAAGGGTGTAGAACCAGAGCAATAGAGTAGAACCTTTATCCTTCTACATTCCCACTACCATCCTGTCCTCCTCGTATGCCTAGGAGTCTATTTTCCCCAAGGTATCTGAAACCACAGTGGGGAGAAATTTACAAAGCAAATAGCCACAGAGCTTCAAGGCAGCAAAAGCAGCAGTTTGGTCAAAGCAAATTTTCTAAGCCATCATTATCTCCATATGTTCATGAACCTGAATTATGCTTGATTTGAGCTTCGAATTGAAAAATGCCTTGAGATTGTTTAATCAGAATTCTAGGAATGTGGAAAATTTAAAAATCATTAGATCATAATGGGAAAATTTTTGCCTATGAAAATTTTTACCAAATATAAAAGAAAGGAAATGACAGACAATATGACTGAATAAAGAGGCAAATTGTAAAAATAAGTCTAAGTGGCTAGAAATTCAAAAAATGTATCTTGTTTTCTAGTTTAAAAATTAAAAAATGACATTTGTACATACTTAATTGAAGTAACATATAACATTACAAAGAACTTCAAGACTTTGTTTCCTAATATGGGTGCAAGAAGCATCACAAGAGAAGATGGAATATAAAAATAATCTTTGGCTGAGTAAGAATTTTCTGTCATTTTTGCATTTAAAGCAAAAGAAGGAAGGGACAAGTAAAATGAATACCTATATAATTTAATATCAAGGTTCAAATAAGAAAGATACTGATTGATTTTTGATGCTTACAATTTTACAATTTTAACTTTTCATTTTACTATCGAAAACAAACAGCTTCTGAGCAACTTTTGAAATTACTATATTACCATTTGAGATTGCAAGAGGAATTTTTTTTTTCAGTCTTCAAAAACAAGTCCTCAGTTTAGAGAAGGAAATTGAGGGTAGTCCATTCCCTTATGTGTTTTCTTTTGAGACACACCCTGCATTATATTTAGCCTCTCCAAAAAGCTTTGAATGTGAACAACTGTAGGGTGAGGACTTGTCCCGGAAACTCTTTTTTTTTCTTTTTTTTAAATATTTATTATACTTTAAGTTCTAGGGTACATGTGCAAAACATGTAGGTTTGATACATAGGTATACGTGTGTCAAGCTGGTTTGCTGCACCCATCAACTTGTCATTTACATTAGGTATTTCTCCTAATGTTATCCCTCCCCCAGCCCCCCACCCCCCAACAGGCCCCAGTGTCTGACGTTCCCTTCCCTGTGTCCAAGTGTTCTCATCATTCAATTTCCACCTATGAGTGAGAACATGCGGTGTTTCATTTTCTGTCCTTGTAATATTTTGCTGAGAATGATGGTTTCCAGCTTCATCCATGTCCCTGAAAAGGACATGAACTCATCCTTTTTATGGCTGCATAGTATTCCATGGTGTATATGTGCCACATTTTCTTAATCCAGCCTATCATTGATGGGCATTTGGGTTGGTTCCAAGTCTTTGCTATTGTGAATAGTGCTGCAATAAACATATGTGTGCATGTGTCTTTAGAGTAGCATGATTTATAATCCTGTGGGTATATACCCAGTAATGGGATTGCTGGGTCAAATGGTATTTCTAGTTCTAGATCCTTGAGGAATCCTGGCTCTACTTTGCATAGATTATTCCATGATGCCAAGCAAAACACAGTTAGGAGAAATCCTGGTAGTAGAAATTCTTTATAATTCTGAGAGTCTGTAGTTTATTTTTTTATCTGAAGGGCTAAGGGTTTTAGAATTTGTATTCCATAGAATTCTTACCCTTTGATGCACAAAAGTTTATTATAGTTTCCAAACTTTATTTGGATAACCCTATTTCAAACAAAATTTAGTAGAACTTTTGCATAATAATAGCTAACAATTATTTCGAGCTTACCATGTGTCAGACTGTTCACAAAGCATTTGACACTGGCTATCTCATTTCATCTCATACAAATTCTGTGATGTAGGTAATGCTATTATCCCAATTTTACAGATAGGGAAACTGAAGCAGGAGGGTTAATTAACTTGCCACATAATAGAAATGAGTTGGTTTAGTTGCGGCTTGCAAGTTGGGCTGCTCAGTCATAGGAGCTGGTCCTAAGGCCCTTGGTGAGAAAACCATGATGAAGAAGGAAGTGCACAGACCAAGAAGTCACCGTGCCTGATTTGATCAGAGAACCTGTGAGCCAGCTCAGAGAATTTAATCTATTTTTTCCCCCCTAGAGACAGAGTCTCACTCTGTCACCTAGCCTGGAGCACAGTGGCTAGATATAGCTCACTGCAGCCTCGAACTCCTAGGTACAAGCGATCCTCCTGCCTCAGCCTCCTGAGTAGCTGGGTCTATAAGTGAGTGCCACCATACCTGGCTAGTTTATTTTTTGTAGAGACAGTCTTACTGTGTTGCCCAGGCTAGTCTCAGGCTCTTGGCCTCACGTGATCTTCCCACCTTGACCTCCTGAAGTGATGGTGACAGGTGTGAGCCACCATGCCAGGCCTCTCAGAGTCATTTTTAGGGAAAATGCAGATGATTACCGTTCTTATCCACTTCCAGAAGTGCCATGGTGGCACCTGATTTGATCTACCTAAAACTACTTTTTTAAGTGCTTGGAGACTAGGTACCCCACAGGTATCACTTTCACTGGGAGTCATATGTAAACCCACTGACATTTCTATATTCCAAAGCTCAAGTTGCCTCAGTTCTTCCTTTTTAAGAGCAAGCAGTACTCTGTGACACCCTGTGAGCAACTTTTCATACCACAGTATATCCCATATGTAGGAAATCCTCCAGTTTCATAGTTGGCAATTCTCCATCTACCCTGCCTGGCTACAAAGGTGTCAAAGGTGTGGCAGTCATAGATCCATTGACGTGTGTGCTTTTTGCTAAAACTTTGTTTGGTGCATTCCCCTAGATCCCACAGTCTACCCCATTATAGTGGATATAAGAGGATTACTCCAGGTAAGGGATATTCAGAATGAATGCCCCTGAAATAGGGAGAATCCATGTAGTAGTATAACATTTGTTGGAAGGGTTGATTATCAAACAACACAAGTGTTTCCACGTGACAGACAGAATTCTGACTGTTGTAGATGTAATAGCAGCTAATAGAATCATCTTGAAGTAGGTGTAATCATTATCCCCTTGTCATATGAAGCAAATGAAGCATGGAAAATTAAAGAGCTTGCCCAAGTTTTGATTGTAAGTGATGTCTCCAATCTGGGGCCCAGAATCCATTCCACCCCTTGTTTGTAGGTCTTAAAAACAATGAATTTGAGATTCCTAATAAGCAAGTAACCATTCATGCACTCTACCCATGTTTACTGAGTGCCCAAGAATGTCATGCACGATGCAAAGAACTAGAGACAATGCTAATTATTAGGGATTCAAATATGAAAGTGATATAGTTTCTGTCCTCAAGGACTTTATAGTGTAATGAAGGGAAACATAAGTAAATGGGTACTATAAAACATAAGGGAAACATAAGTAAATGGGTACTATAAAACATAAGGGAAACATAAGTAAATGGATGATTGTAAGTATAAGTACTGTCATATAGCTATTAAGTATAACATCCATAGCATATGTTAGATGAACTGAAAGGGACAATGAATCTATACTGGGGTCAACAGAGAAGGCTGAAGGAATGTACCTAACCTGAGCCTTAGAGGAGAAACAGTAGTTAGCATGGTGGGGAATGGAAGGGCATTCCAGGCAGGGAGGGTAATATGAGGAAAGAGGGAGTGTGTAGTTGAATGTGCAGGGAAAGTTTGTGCAGAATGGCTAAATCACTGGATTGGATTATAGAGTAGGGAGCTGAATGGCAATAGATGGAACTGGAGAGGTAGACAGAACCAGGTCATAGAGGGCCTCACGCACAAAATAATAGGTGGTTGGACTTCCTCATATAGGTAACGGAGAGCCGTGTTCAAGACACACACCCAGGGGAAAAGTATTTGGATTAGATTTTGAAGAAGGATATCGGATGGGGTTCAGGGTGGGCAAATGGAGACTAGACCAGTTAGTTGAGACCACTTCGCTTAGAATGATGAGAGGGCAATCTAATGTAGTACAAGGAAGGAAGGGAGGAGAGGAAACTGTTTAGAACAGGGTTTCTGCACATTTCGGGCCACATATTTCTTTGTGGTGAAGGACTGTCCTGTGCACTGTAGGGGCACTGTAGGATGTTTAGTAGCATCCTCAGCCTCCATCCACTAGATGCCAAGAGCAGGTCCTCCTCCAGTTGTGATCACCAAAAATGTCTCCTGCATGGCAAAATTACCCCCATTTGAGATCTACTAGTTTAGACACACTGGTATTAAAATAGAATCAATTGGATTTGGATGGAGAAGGTGGAAAATCACAGTCAAGGTTAACTTTAGGGTTTCTGTATTGACAAAATAGGTGAGAAATAGGTGAGAGAACAGGTCTGATCTTTGAACAAATTAAATTTGAGATACTTGTGGGATATCCTAAAAAGAGATCCAAGAGATAGCTGGATAGATGGATCTTTGCTCAGAGAATTCTCAGCTGGAGATACAAATTTGGGGATTATTTGCATATGGATGGAAAAAAATACCATAGGGGTGAATGAGTTCACTCAGGCAGACTCATGAAGTAAGAAGAGAACCAGGCAGGAACTCTATGGACAACCAAGAGTTAAGGGTGATAGAGCATTGTTTAAATCACAGTTTAATTCTTGATAATGAAAGGGAAAAGAGAAGTAGGTATCACTATGTCATTTTTAATCAGCAATGAAGACCTTGGTATCCCATGACTCAAATAGAAGGTAAGATCTCCTAAAAAAATGTGTGGGAGTAATCGGGGAAATGTTCACAAGATGGTCAGTCTTAAATTAAATGCAGTATTTGTTGAATTTATTTTTCCCTGTGCTTTCAGTACAAAACTAAACAAAACCTTAAAAAGCCTCATAGTTTCAGTGTGGTGAATGAATACCTAGAAATGCAAGGTTAAATTGAAAAACCCATTATATATTTATTAGCAGTGTTGTTTCACTACCTTGTCATCAATGTTCAAAAACAGTACTGCAATGGAAAGCTCAAGGGAAATGCAGGAGCTTTATATAAAGACATATTCTTTAGCCTTTGATAAGGTTCTACAGTGATAATTCTGGAAAAAGTAAAATGTCATGAAGCAATGAACAGAAAGAGCTTACAGGATAGAAAGCAAACCAATAACAAGAACTAGTATCATTTTTGGCAGGCAAGTCAGTGAAGTAGGAAGATAATTTCCTACCAGTGACATGATTTCCACGAAGCTAATTGCCTACAATGCCAATTATAGTGAGAAGCCTTAGACTAGGGCAATCGTGACCTGTGAAAAAGGAATTCAATACTGAAAAGACCAGATGCTTTGGGTAAATAAGTGATTACCTGAATATAAGTTAGATACCCTTGTGAGAAATATTAACTCTTCAGGCCAACAACGTACCACCAGAGGTCCACTCCCAAATAATGCTCTGTGTCTTCCAAAGGGCCTTACAACCAAACCAGCACACCTATCCAAAAACGCAGCTTCCACACACCATGGCTCTGTGTGTTGAAAGGAAGACAAACCGAATGAAGTTCATCAAATAAATTCCCCATCTCACTCATTTGTCAGAGGGAATATCTGCCAGTATTCTCTGCAATACAGGACCCTGTGCTTACCTGATTTCTACAGGGAGCTCTGGACTGCCTTCCTGATTCCAGCCTCTGTCAACCTTCTCTCTCCCTCCCTTTGCCAACATTAAAAAAGAAGTTAACAAATGGATCTAATTACCACAGTGGTTTGAGGCTTCTCAACGTTTTTTTTCCCTTCCAGCTGTAAAGATGTCCTCAGACTGAGCTTCACATTCAGAACTGCTGTCAAACTCTCACTTTAATGGGCACTTAAATTTAATGTCAAGCTGATGCCTGTGGAAGACCTTGATTAAATTTGCAGAGTAGACCCTAACTGAAACAGAACTTTAGAGTTGTCTCATTTCGCCTTTCAAGCTTAAATCCCAGAAGTTTTCTTCTCTTCTTTGTAAAGAATTACAGAAGTTTGCTTGCAAAGACCCTGAGTATTAATAAGACAGCAAAGTGTAACAAGCAAAACAACCTGCATGCTTTTAGAGAGAGAAGAATTCCCTTAGCTTATTAAAATTGTATGTGAATTAAAGATCTTTCCCATTGCTTTATTCCATTCCCAGCTCATTTGAAATCTATAACTATTCACTTTTATGACTCTACAATATTATAAGCAGTCCTAAAAAGTTTACTTAAAACCTTCCTAGTGTTCTTTTATGCACATGGCAATTAAGTTTTTTACTGTATGGACAGAGTGAAAAACATTATGGAAAAACAACTTGAAAGAAATATGACAGAATTTCTCCTAACAATGTCATTGCTTCAACCAGCTACAGATTTCCAACCTAGTTTCTTTCTTTTGCGGTTTCTTCTTTTGTCTTTGATACAATCATACAGCCTCTCTTCCTTGAAGAGATAATAAAAGACTAACAGTTAAAAGATCTGGAAGACTCATATTCTTTTTCACTGGCTACGGTTTTGAAAAGAGTCTGTTGGCTTTTGATTTTTTCTTTTGGGTTCTTTACATCACCCAATTCAAACAGGTCTGCTCTCAAAGAAAACAAAATTGTCAAGACCTGTGAAGCATGAAAAATAAATTGCTTTTTCCAACTCCAAAAAGCACCAGAAAAGCATTAATTTTGTTCTTCTTTTATAAACCTGTGTCCCCTATCCTCTAATCTATAGATTTCACAGAATGTTTATATATTCTTCTGTATAATACATGACAGGAGATCAAACCTTATTATGAATAAATTGAATTGAACCTGTAATACAACTAATATTTAAACTAGTGTTATTTTGGAGTTCAACTAGACACATATAAAACATTCAAGTAAGATGACACAAATTCCTGGGGCTGCCAGTATAAAATAAACAGTCCAGTAAGCTGCATCTACCATGCCGTTAATGACTCTGTCCTTTTAGCTGGTGGGATCACAGGCTTCATAAAAGAAGGAGAACGTGAAGCAGTAGAAAAAGACAGCCTTGCAAAATGCTGTCAGATACAAAACATTCTATCAGAAAATTTCTCATTGAACTAGAGTGGCGAGAGTACTTCTAATATCTCCCTTTTAACACAATGAAGACCTACATTTCTATGCTCGGCTTTCTAAAGCTAACTTAATTCTGTGGTTAAAACAGCTCCAGGTAGCACTTGTTCTTATTTTTTTTTTAAAAAGAGGACTTGTGGTTTTGCAGTCCATGGATAAAGTGGTAGGCAATCATCAGATTCCTGTTGAGAACGACAAATGATGAAGGGAGTAGCAGATGGTTTCAGAAGGCAGAGATTTATACGGGTAATTTGTAGTGGAATAATACTATTTTCTGAACTAGGTAATAATAATTCACCAAGACAAGTAAAAGTTTAGATAGTATCTCATTTAATTATACGTTGCTAAATATTCCAAGAAATCTTTGACTCAGAAGCCTAAAACGAAAACTCAATTAGTTGACATTTTTAGTTTCTGATGATCTGATCCTGTTTAATCCTTTTCATCGTGATGCAGTTTATCACATGATTAAAAATATGGTGCTGCTAACAGTCTAGTTTTCTGAATACAATGTCCTCTTTTCAATTTAGTTAGTATCTGATTCAAAAGGATAAAAGTATCCCTCTTTACTAAGAAAAGAAGACAGAAATAGACTAATACTTTTCACATATTCCAAGGTAATAGATGAGGAAGAACTATGTTTCAAACAGGGTTTCCTGAACACCCCAAATCCTATTGGTGAGTGAGTAGAGCCCCGGGAGGAAATCACTATTTAGATGAGGGTATCCACAATGGCACTGCTCCACAAGGCATACGTGCCAGGGATCATCAACTTCACCTTACTCCCTTGACGAAAGCAGGCAGAGAGAACAGGGCATTGATCTCGTATGTCTGTAATCATCCACAACATTTATTAAATTCTATTGCTGGCACTTAAAGGAGGGGGTTACTATAAGTATCACTATTCATTGCTGAAGTTAATTAATTTACCAAATCTATTTGGTAATTCACAGCAACTACAGAAGCAATAAGGTATGGAAGTTGGAGGGTAAAATAAACACTTTATTTTATATGTACAACTTTCTTGCTTGCTAATTGTCTATTCTTCATGAACCTGTCCCCAGAGTAATGGCAGCAGATAAGACGTGTCATTATTTTACATAATAAAATATCCCTATTATTCCTTAATAAATATAACTGGCTATACTTTATTTTAATTCCCAAGTCACAGTTCACTCAGGAGAGTCTGGTGCCTGATGTAGAATAACCACAAATAGGTCAACTCTTAAAAAAAGGTAAAGAAAAGTTTAAAATATTCATTAGTGATCAGCAATGTGTTGGATACTTCAAACTACCACTTTAAAACTGAAGTAATGTCCAATCTGTTATGACATAAGACTCTCCCAATTATACGCAGACACTGTCATGTACACTTTGACATTTATTAACAAAAATGGTCCAGAAAAGGATTGAGTCAAAATTACAAAGTGATTAAGAGTTAAAACAAAAGTTATTCTTTATTGTAGTTTCTGGGGGACTTTAACCAGTCCCCAAAGCTGTTTTTATCTCCTAAAATAGGACTTAAATGACATCACTCAAATGACAGATTTTAATAGAAACTCTTCCTCTTTCCTTCTGTCAAAGTAAAATATAGTGAAAGTCTCTGTTGTTACCTCAAACCTGCTTTCCTAATAAGTGTGCATGCCTGTAGATGGATTGGGATGCAATGAAGAGAGAAGTTAAACAAAAAGGTTAAAAAAAGAAAGACCAGGCACAGTGGCTCACAACTGTAATCCCAGCACTCTGGGAGGCTGAGGTGTGAGGATCGCTTGAGTCCAGGAGTCTGAGATCTGCCTGGGCAACATAGGGAGACCCTCACCTCTACAAAAAAAAATTGAAAAAAATTAGTTGGATATGGGGTACACACCTGTGGTCCCAACTACTTGGGAGGCTGAGGTAGCAGGATCACCTGAGCTGGGAAGGTCAAGGCTGCAATCAGCTGTAATTGTGTCACTGCACTAAGCCTTGGTGACAGAGTGAAACCCTTTTTCAACAACAAAGGCAAAATCTTAAAAACAGGAAACAGGCTATTGAGGAAAATGGGTTAGAAAACTGCCTAAGAATCTTCACTAAAGTAATCTTCTAGTCCTTCCATATCCATTTCCAGAGAGGAATTTAAAGAGGCCAGAGCAGATGATGCATCCTTGGTTTTCTGGACACTTGGTTTGGGTTGAGGAGTTTCTGGTTGGATAGGTTCCTTCTTTATGTCTTTACCACCATTTAGAATACTTTGGCTCTCACAAAAGAACTGATTAGGATGATTCAAAGAAAAGCCACAATCATCCACCTGTAAAGGAAGGAAATTTATATTGCATTAATACATGGCAAAGCTATAAATATATGAGTTTCAAAAGCTGTTTTAGTACTTGTTTAAAACTTAATACCTGAAACATGGATTCTAGCTGTATGCATTCTAACACTTAATCAGCTACTTACACCATTTCATTCAAAGAGAGCTTCAACCACTACCCAAACCTAAATGGCTCCCACATTTTTATTTCTAGTCTGAGCCTCTGTGTTTGGCTCCAGTTCCCTGTCTAGTTTCAGTCCCATATCCAACACCTACTCAACATCTAAGATGGCTCAAAAGCAGCTCAAACCCAACAGGAAACATATTCTTTCCCCTTTCCCCATCCTTTGCTCTCAGTGACTGGTATCACCATTCATCCTTGGGGCATACTAGACACCTTTCTCTCACATCCCCAGCCCCCAACTCCCACCTGCCACCTCCCATCTACACCAAGACCTCAATTCTGGCAATACCCAAAACATTACCAATTCTGGTTGACAATTACATCAAAACAAAAAATTAGAAAACTATAAAAATGTGTTTGGAATACAAACCTGTGTGTGTGTGTGTGTGTGTGTGTGTGTGTGTGTGTGTGTGTGTGTGTGTGTGTGAATGACATTGTATGTTAGTGAGGCACAGGTTAGGGACCTGTGTGATTCACTATTGTATCCCCAGTTCCAAGAAAAGGCCTACCACATTGTAGGCCAATAAATATTTGTGGGTTTTTAAGTGATTGTAAAATCATTTTTGATCATTTTGATACTTGTCCCTGATACCACTTGTGTTTTAGAGCTGACTTGTAAGTCTGGCATGTGCGCTCCTTTAGTATGATATAAACTGAAAAAGCAACCTAAGTCAATGTAATTCTTCATTCTAATCTTGGCCTTTCCTTAGTCTTTTTACAGAAAATCTCTTCTTGTAAATTTCACTGTGACTGAATACAAACATGCCTGGTTCATAACTTATTTTTTCTCAAATACTATCATTAAACTTTAATTTTGAGTATCATTTCAAATTATGCACTCTAGTAATCTCTCCTTATATTCAGTTTCACTTTCCACAGTCTCAAATCCCTGCCTTCTCACCTTCTGCAGTTGGAGTTGACAACAAAAATATCATTTTGCTTGAGTGAGTGACTGTTGGTTTCTTTGGTGGTATTTTCATTTATCAAGTTTTTGGAAACTGAGAAGTGATTCCATTTCTTTTGTTCATCTGTCTTGTATTAACTAATCCTTTTACGTCTCACCCTTCATACTGAAGTGACTTGCACATTGTAGGTATCTAATAAATATTTGGTGAAGTGAACCCAGAAATAGTGTATACCAGTGATAATTTTGCATATTTAATTAAAGCCTTACTATATAAAAGACTGTGTTATAAACTATTCGCTATTCAGCATACAGGAATATATTTGACTAACTCAAATTTCCAGCCCAGTAAGTTACATACTTAAAAACCTCTACCAAGAATGGAGAACTGATGAGGGTCACAGATAAAGGCCTATTACACTCCACAGTAGAGAGAAATTTCGACTGAGGAGATCAAGGAAGGCTTTGTAAGAGGAGTGCTATTTGAGTTGCGTCTGGAAAGATGGAGGGAGTGAAAAGCTGGGATGATGAGGGGAAAGGCAATATTTGCAGCAGGGCCACATGAGCAAGGTAAAGAGGGAATGTCCTGGGAAAGCAAATATTAAATAGTTCACATAGCCTATTATGAAAGGCACATACAAGGAAACAATAAGGAATGAGGTTGGAAAGACAGGCAGGGGCCAGCCTGAGAGAGCCTTGAAAATCAGGGTAAGTGGTCAAGACCTAATTCTCTAGGCAACAGAGTCACCAAAAACCCTTAAAAAGAGACGTGGTGTGATTAAAGCTATGTATAATCTTATAGTAGATTAAAATGAATTGGTCAGGGAAAAAGGGGTTGCTGCTGCGGTCTAGAATGAACCCTACTGGTGGACGGACCAACAGACAGAAACATGAGTCTTTTCTGGTAATACTTATTTAAGCACCCTAGGAATCTCTGATTCTCTTTTGCTAGTTGTTAATACATGTTAGGCTAATTTTATAGTAATTCCAGGTTGTAACAGATGGATAGTATACAGACTGATTTTAAGAGTTATAGATCATTAAGAACAAATTTTTATCTTGCTTTATTTTTTTAACTTAGCTGCTTGATTTCAAAATGTTTCTGAAATGTTTTATATTTATAATTTTTATTAACAATGGAATCATTTATGAACTTTTTTATTATGAACTTTTTTGTTACATTCAATTTTCACCCAATTCATTAAAAACTGAGAAATCCAATATAAATTTTGCATTTTGCAATGTGTTTCACAAAAAGTATGTTTATTGTCTAATACATTTTAATCAGAAGGCCTTATAGTTTGTAAAATAGTTTGTAAGCAGAAAATCAGAGATTAGAAAGACCTTGGGGAATCCATTAAATTCAATCTCCTCCATGTACAGAGGCCTAAGGAGAATAGATAGTTTATTCAAGGTCATAGAATTAGTAACTGGTTTTGTCTGAATTAAAATTCAGGCCTTCTGACTAGATCATTAGTTGCTCTGAAATCTGTTTTAAGAGATTGTATGCAAAATCATGCTGATAATGATATCTCCATTATAAATTTTATTTCTAGAGATAAACTTGGCTACAAGGATTATAAAAACATAGTTGTATTATTTCATGCAAAAATAACCTAGTATCTTATGCTATAATAATATCTTGGCATTTTCTATACCTCGCTTCAAGTTGTCAGTTATCAATACATTTATTAGACTTCAAATGAATCAATTATAATTCATATATTGCACAAAATAGGGTCATCTTCTTAAAGTCTGAGTTTCTCCATTGATGAAATGGAGATAACAGTGTTAGGTCATAGGGTTGCTATGGGAAAAGTAAATAAAAATGAATGTAAAAAAAAGAGTTGTTCTATGAAATCTAAAGAAAATGTTTTTAAAGAGTCAAGAAAAGCAAGTCACTTAAAAAAAAAGGTGGAGGTCACAGAAGGAGAGGGAGAAAGATCCTATTGCTTTGCATATATCAAGTTCCTTTTCTACTTTAAGGAATCCAAACTGGAAACGTCTGATGCTGTATTATGGGTATAGTTTATAAAAGAAAGATAAAATCAAATTCCAAACACTAAACGATACTCAAAAGACCCTGCCCTAACTAATAAATGGCATTTAAATGTCTTAACTTTAAGATATATTTAAGGTATGTGCATATCGTTAATGAATCCTCATTTTAATTAGTATTTTTTAAATTATACTTAAAGTTCTGGAGTCCATGTGCAGAACATGCAGGTTACATAGGTATATACATGCCATGGTGGTTTGCTGTGCCCACCAACCTGTTATCTACATTAGGGACTTCTACTAATGCCATCCTTCCCCTAGCAGCCCCACCCCCCCAAACAGGCCCTGGTGTGTGACATTTCCCTCCCTGTGTCCATGTGTTCTCATTGTTCAACTCCCACTTATGAGTGAGAACATGCAGTGTTTGGTTTCTGTTCTTGTGTTAGTTTGCTGAGAATGATGGTTTCCAGCTTCATCCATGTCCCTGCAAAGGACATGAACTCATCCTTTTTAATGGCTGCATAGTATTCCATGGTGTATATGTGCCACATATTCTTTACCCAGTCTATCATTGGTGGGCATTTGGGTTGGTTCCAAGTCTTTGCTATTGTGAACAATGCCACAATAAACATACGTGTGCATGTGTCTTTACAGTAGCATGATTTATAATCCTTTGGGTACAACCCAGTAATGGGATTGCTGGGTCAAATGATATTTCTGGTTCTAGATCCTTGAGGAATCGCCACACTGTCTTCCACAATGGTTGAACTAATTTACACTCCCACCAACAGTGTAAAAGCATTCCTATTTCTCCACATCCTCTCCAGCATCTGTTGTTTCCTGACTTTTTAAGGATTGTCATTCTAACTGGCATGAGATGGTATCTCATTGCAGTTTTGATTTGCATTTCTCTGATGACCAGTGATGATGAGCATTTTTTCATATGTTTCTTGGCCACATAAATGTCTTCTTTTGCAAAGTGTCTGTTCATATCCTTCACCCACCTTTTGATGGGATTGTTTGTTTCTTGTAAATTTAAGTTCTTGTAGGTTCTGGATATTAGCCCTTTGTCAGATGGATAGATTGCAAAAATTTTCTCCCATTCTGTAGGTTGCCTGTTCACTCTGATGATAGTTTCTTTTGCTGTGCAAAAGCTCTTTAGTTTAATTAGATCTCATTTATCAATTTTGGCTTTTGTTGCCGTTGCTTTTGGTGTTTTAGTCATGAAGTCTTTGCCCATGCCTATGTCCTGATTGGATTTGCCTAGGCTTTCTTCTAGGGTTTTTATGGTTTTAGGTCTTACGTTTAAGTCTTTAATCCAACTTGAGTTAATTTTTGTATAAGGTGTAAGGAAGGGGTCCAGTTTCAGTTTTCTGCATATGGCTAGCCAGTTTTTTCAAAACTATTTATTAAATAGAGAATCTTTTCCCCATTGATTGTTTTTGTCAGGTTTGTCAACAATCAGAAGGTTGTAGATCTGTGGCATTATTTCTGAGGCTTCTGTTCTGTTCCATTGGTCTATATATCTGTTTTGGTACCAGTACCATGCTGTTGTGGTTACTGTAGCCTTGTAGTATAGTTTGAAGTCAGGTAGTGTGATGCCTCTAGCGTTGTTTTTTTTTTTTTTTTTTTTTTTTTTTTTTTTTTTTTGCTTAGGATTGTCTTGGCTATGTGGGCTTTTTTTTGGTTCCATATGAAATTTAAAGTAGTTTTTTCTAATTCTGTGTAGAAAGTCAATGGTAGCTTGATGGGGATAGCATTGAATCTGTAAATTACTTTGTGCATTACAGCCATTTTCACGATATTGATTCTTCCTATCCATGAGCATGGAATGTTTTCCCATTTGTTTGTGTCCTCTCTTATTTCCTTGAGCAGTGGTTTGTAGTTCTCCTTCAAGAGGTCCTTCACATCCCTTGGAAGTTGTATTGCTAGGTATTTTATTCTCTTTGTAGCAGTTGTGAATGGAAGTTCACTCATGATTTGGGTCTCTGTCTATTAGAGGTGTATAGGAATGCTTGTGATTTTGCACAGAGAGTTTGTATCCTGAGACTTTGCTGAAGTTGCTGATCAGCTTGTGAAGTTTTTGGGCTGAGATAACGGGGTTTTCTAAATGTAAAATCATGTCATCTGCAAACAGAGACAATTTGACTCCCTCTCTTCCTATTTGAATACCCTTTATTTCTTTCTCTTGCCTGATTGCCCTGGCTAGAACTTCCAATTTTGTGTTGAATAGGAGTGGTGAGAGAGGGCATCCTTGTCTTGCGCCAGTTTTCAAAGCGAATGCTTCCAGTTTTGCCCACTCAGTATGATATTGGCTGTGGGTTTGTCAAAAAATAGCTCTTACTATTTTGAGATATGTGCCATCAATACCTAGTTTATTGAGAGTTTTTAGCATGAAGGGATGTTGAATTTTGTTGAAGGCCTTTTCTGCATCTATTGAGATAATCATGTGGATTTTGTCATTGGTTCTGTTTATGCACTGGATTATGTTTATTGATTTGCATATGTTGACCCAGCCTTGCATCCCAGGGATGAAGCTGACTTGATCATGGTAGATAAGCTTTTTGATGTGTTGCTGGATTCAGTTTGCCAGTATTTTATTGAGGATTTTTTGCATCGATGTTCACCAGGGATATTGGCCAGAAATTTTCTTTTTTTGTTGTGTCTCTGCCAGGTTTCGGAATCAGGATGATGCTGGCCTCATAAAATGAGTTAGAGAGGACTCCCTCTTTTTCTGTTGTTTAGAATAGTTTCAGAAAGAATGGTACCAGCTCTGCTGTGTACCTCTGGTGGAATTTGTCTGTGAATCTGTCTGGTTCTGGGCTTTTTTTTTGGTTGATAGGCTATTACTGCCTCAATTTCAGAACTTGTTATTAGTCTATTCAGGGATTTGACTTCTTCCTGGTTTAGTCTTGGGAGGGTGTATGTGTCCAGAAATGTATCCATTTCTTCTAAACTTTCTAGTTTATTTGTGTAGAGGTGTTTACAGTATTCTCTGATGGTAGTTTGTATTTCTGTGGGATCAGTGGTGATATCCCCTTTATCATTTTTTATTGCATCTATTTGAATCGTTTCTCTTTTCTTCTTGGTTAGTCTGGCTAGCAGTCTACTTTTTTGATCTTTTCAAAAAACCAGCTTCTGGATTCATTGATTTTTTGAAGGGTTTTTTGTGTCTCTATCTCCTTCAGTTCTGCTCAGATCTTAGTTATTTCTTGCCATCTGCTAGCTTTTGAATTTGTGTGCTCTTGCTTCTCTAGTTCTTTTAATTGTGATGCTAGGGTGTTGACTTTAGATCTTTCTTGCTTTGTCTTGTGGGCATTTAGGGCTATAAATTTCCCTCTAAACACTGCTTTAGCTATGTCCCAGAGATTCTGGTATGTTGTGTCTTTGTTCTCAATGGTTTCAAGAACTTATTTATTTCTGCCTTAATTTTATTATTTACCCTGTAGTAATTCAGGAGCAGACTGTTCGGTTCCCATGTAGTTGTGCGGTTTTGAGTGAGTTTCTTCATCTTGAGTTCTAATTTGATTGCACTGTGGTCTGAGAGACTGTTTGTTAAGATTTCCATTCTTTTGCATATGTTGAGGAGTGTTTTACTTCTAATTATGTGGTCAATTTTAGAATAAGTGCAATGTGGTGCTGAGAAGAATGTATATTCTGTTGATTTGGGGTAGAGAGTTCTGTAGATGTCTATTAGGTCCACTTGGTCCAGAGCTGAGTTGAAGTCCAGAATATCCTTGTTAATTTTCTGTCTCGTTGATCTAATATTGACAGTGGGGTGTTAAAGTTTCCCACTATTATTGTGCAGGAGTCTACAACTCTTTGTACGTCTCTAAGAACTCGCTTTATGAATCTGGGCACTCCTGTATTGGGTGTATATATATTTAGGACAGTTAGCTCTTCTTTTTGAATTGATCCCTTTACCATTATGTAATGCCCTTCTCTCTTTTGATCTTTGTTGGTTTTAAGTCTGTTTTATCAGAGACTAGGATTGCAATCCCTGCTTTTTTTTTTTTTTTTTTTTTTTTTGCTTTCTGTTTGCTTAATAAATATTCCTCCATCCCTTTATTTTGAGCCTATGTGTGTCTTTGCCTGTGAGATGGTTTCCTGAATACAGCACACCGATGGGTCTTGACTCTTCATCCAATTTGCCAGTCTGTGTCTTTTAACTGGGGCATTTAGCCTCTTTACATTTCAAGTTAATATTGTTATGTGTGAATCTGACCCTGTCCTTATGATGCTAGCTGGTTATTTTGCTCGTTGGTTGATGCAATTTCTTTATAGTGTTGATAGTCTTTAGAATGTGATATGTTATTGCAGTTGCTGGTACCAGTTGTTCCTTTCCATGTTTAGTGCCTCCATTAGGAGCTCTTGTAAGGCAGGCCTAGTGGTGACAAAATCTCTCAGCATTTGCTTGTCTGTAAAGGATTTTATTTCTCCTTTGCTTATGAAGGTTAGTTTGGCTGCATATGAAATTCTGGGTTGAAAATTCTTTTCTTTAAGAATGTTGTATATTGGCTCCCACTCTATTCTGGCTTGTAGGGTTTCTGCAGAGAGATCCGCTGTTAGTCTGATGGGTTTCCCTTTGTGGGTAACCTGACCTTTCTCTCTGGCTGCCCTTAACATTTTTTCCTTCATTTTAACCTTGGTGATTCTGACAATTATGTGTCTTGGGGTTGTTCTTCTCGAGGAGTATCTTTGTGGTGTTCTCTGCATTTCCTGAATTTGAATGTTGGCCTGTCTTGCTAGGTTGGGGAAGTTCTCCTGGATTATATCCTGAAGTGTTTTCCAACTTGGTTCCATTCTCCCGGTCACTTTCAGGTACACCAATCAAACATAGGTTTGGTCTTTTCACATAGTCCCATATTTCTTGGAGGCTTTGTTCATTCCTTTTCATTCTTTTTTCTGTAATCTTGTCTCTTGTTTTATTTCATTAAGTTAATCTTCAATCTCTGATATCTGTTCTTCTGCTTGATCAGTTCAGCTGTGGATACTTGTGTATGCTTCATGAAGTTCTCTTGCTGTGTTATTCAGTTCCATCAGGTCATTTATGTTCTCTAAACTAGTTATTCTAGTTAGCATTTCCTCTAACTTTTTTTCAATGGTTTCTTAGCTTCCTTGCATTGGGTTAGAACATGCTCCTTTAGCTCGGAGGAAGTTGTTATTACCCACCTTCTGAAGCCTACTTCTGGCAATTTGTCAAACTCATTCTCCATCCAGTTTTATTCCCTTGCTGGTGAGGAGTTGTGACCCTTTGGAGGAGAAGAGATATTCTGGTTTTTGGAATTTTCAGCCTTTTTGCGCTGGTTTCTCCCAGTCTTTGTGGATTTATCTACCTTTGGTCTTTGATGTTGGTGAACTTTGCATGGGGTTTCTGAATAGATGTCCTTTTTATTGATGTTGAAGGTATTCCTTTCTGTTTGTTAATTTTCCTTCTGACAGTTAGACCCCTCTGCTGCAGGTCTGCTGGAGTTTGTTGGAGGTCCACTCCAGACCCTGTTTGCCTGTGTATCACCAGTGGAGGCTGCAGAACAGCAAAGATTGCACCCTGTTCCTTCCTCTGGAAGCTTCGTCCCAGAGGGGCACCCACCAGATGCCAGCCGGAGCTCTCCTGTATGAGGTGTCTGTCGGCCCCTGCTGGGAGGTGTCTCTCAGTCAGGAGACATGGTGGTCAGGGACCCACTTGAGGAGGCAGTCCCTTAACAGAGCTCGAATGCTATGCTGGGAGATCTGCTGGTCTCTTTAGAGCTGGCAGTCAGGAACGTTTAAGTCTGCTGAAGCTGCACCCACAGCTGCCCCTTCTCCCATGTGCTCCATCCCAGGGAGATGGGGATTTTATCTGTAAGCCCCTGACTGGGGCTGCTGCCTTTTTTTTCAGAGATAATTAATCTTTTTTTATTAACCACTAAAACAGTGCCAAGGGCCTTGAAGTGAGGATTTGTGCCATGGCTCTGTGATGCTGTTTCTCCTTTTTCTTGATCTGCAATTGTCCTTAACTCATTTTTGATGCTCTTTGTGATCTACTAAGTTGCTTGATAGCAAAATGAAATTATGAAGTTTCCTTTTTATAGAATTCTATTTTCTTCTAGGATGAGTTCTTTGTGTTCTGCTTCTTTCACTTTCATTTTTAAAGGAAGTGTACATGGCTGTTTCCTTTTGTATTGTTTAGGGAAATAAACTTAGGGGGTTTTTTTGTATGTGGGGGGAAGGGGAAGAGCATAAACTAAAGAGAATGGAAATCTTCACTTTAAAATTAAATTAGGAAAAGGAATAGAGAAATAGAGGTATCCACATCTAAATCCTCCATTTCACTTATTTCTTCTCAGGTCAGCAGCTATTTCCTTTACTCTGTTTGGAAATATTAAGTGAGCATTTTCATGACTTTGTCTACTGTGACTCTTTTGTTTCTTTCCTTGCCTGTTTTCTTTTTTGGTTACTATTGCTGATGTTTTTCTTTGTGGTTGATGATTTCAAAAATTATGTTTTGTGCATTATTTTATGTATTGAGATGGGAAAATTCTGCGAAGCATTTGCATTCTACCACACTAGCTTGGTCCTAGTGTTTCAGGTCCAAAGACCTGTAAAGGATCTGAAGCAAATTTAGGAGTCTAGAGGAAGGTGGGTGGAGTGGAGGCCTTTAGAAGATACATTATAAATTTTAGATTTCATCTTAAGAGAAATAGGAAGCCACTGAAGGTTTTAAAAAGCAGGTTCCTGAAATGATCAGATTCCTCTATTTTAAAGGTCACTCCAGCAGCTGTGTGGAGGAGAAAGAATTGGAATGGGGCATGTGTAGATGCTGGGAAACGAGTTAACAAGCTATTGCAGTGATCCAAGTGAGATGATGGTGGCTTCTAGCCCAGCATTCTAACTGATATCCATAATGATGACCCTGAGTTATTATAAAAGGGCTTAATTGTATCACATATATCCTGTTTAAGATTGCAGGAAAATGTGTGATAGGTTTTAATAAGATTTCTCTAGAGATTTATATGGTGGGGAAAAATTATGCTCAGCCATTTGGAAAATAGTACCCACAGTTACTCAGTGTCCAAAGAGGTCTACCTCTGAAAACATTATTTTCTATTAAAATTCTGTGGTTAATCTACACATGACCTAGTGTTTTCATTTATACATGGAACATGCAGAAAGAATATACTATTAGTATAAAATTATTTTAAACATTGATCCTAAAAATACAGAGGAAAACAGGTTTCAAGCAGGCCAGCTTTTAACATCTACTAAATGAATCTCTCTTAAACATTTGTTTGGAATCAGCACATTCTGCGCACAATGACCTTCACACAAACATGGGTCTCATATTTCTGCCACTGCAAATGTAGAGTTTGAAGGAATGAAAGCAATATTGTTTTACCTATGGGATATTTGGGTTTTAATCAAGAGGTTTTGCAATGACAGCTTATAATGAGGCAGCTGGTATTACCAAAAAAGCCATATGGAACTATCATAGTGCTGCTGCAAATGGTATCAATTAACTGGTTTATTTTCAAAACTTCCATTTAAGTAAGTTTGATCACAGAGGCCTCGGGAAAATAAACATAGGATTTATTTGAGGGAGGGGTAGGATGGCAGAAACCTGACAATAAAAATAGATTCTATTTTTAAATTAAATTAGAAAAAATATAAATGAAGGAGGATATTCACATCTAAAAGTCCACAGTGAGAGATCTAGTGACTACAAACAGCCTTTTTATTTTGTTGATTTAAGTGTGGTTTAAGTTAGACTATTTTTATATATGAGGGGATTTAGATATATGTCTTTCCAAAATCTTCATTAATCTAAAACAAGTTTTAAAAATTGGCAATAGTGGCAATACTTGAGGGAATAATCAATAGGAGAGATATTACAAAAGCAGATTTGAGAAATAAAAACTACTCCTTCCTTTTTGGTGATTATGCCACAAACTCAATGTTTAAATCTAATTTTCATATCTTATTTTTATAAAAAGAGGTTGGATAATAGAACTCACTTGTGAAAATTCTGAGGCCTCTTAATTAAAAGCATCCACAAATGATTAAAGAACAATAGGAAATTAAAACTCTCAAGTGGAGCAACCAAATTAAAGAATGCAGTCTCCGAGAGAGTGAGTCATATAAACCTGGTGTTGCCAAACATGGCTTATCTGGCGAGATTCCTAGTGTGATAAAATTAATGAGATTTTGTTGTTGCTATTTTCTTGATGTTTACTCCTTGAGTTTTGTTTTAAAAAAAGCTTTTAAATGAGAATAATACTTTCAAAAGTTAGGTATAGAAGAATGAGGACAGGACCCACAACAGACTGGGGCTCTAGCTCCAGATCTTCCATTAATCAATTACAGCATGTAAGGCAAGTTAGAGTCCCTACCTGTTTACCATGCTATGAAGATAAACAGGAAAATGCCAATTACCTCTGCTGTCATTATCACATATTTAGTACCAAATATCATAGGACAGTACAGTCATAGTTATGCTCACAAGCTTTAGATGAGTTAGACAGCTTGAATTTAAATCTAAGTTCTATCCCCTATAAGTAGTGTAACCCCACACAGATTGTTTAACTTCTCTAAGTTTTATTCATAGACAGGGAAATATACATATAGTATCTTTCTGTAATGTCAATCAAAAGAGCTAATGCGTTCAAAAATTTTAGTGCTGTGCCTGGTATACATTAAGGCAGGGGTTCCCAACCCAGTCCGTGGCCTGTTAGGAATTGGGCCTCACAGCAGGAGGTGAGCAGTGGGTGAGTGAGTGGAGCTTCATCTGTATTTACAGCCACTCCCCATCACTTGCATCACTGCCTGAGTTCCACCTCCTGTCAGATCAGCAGTGGCCTTAGATTCTCATGGGGGTGTGAACCCTATTGTGAACCCCACATGCAAGGGATCTAGGTTGCGTGCTTCTCATGATTATCTAATGTGCCCTCCCACCAGCCCCTGTTTAACCATGGAAAAATTGTCTTCCATGAAACTGGTCCCTGGTGCCAAAAAGGTTGGGGACTGCTGCATTAAGGGTTCCATAGATATTGGCTGGTATTACTATTATTATTTTAATTATTATTGGTAATATTATAAAATATCTTTTTCCTATGAGATATTTTATCAAGTAAGAAATTCTGCAATTATATAACCATAATAGAAAAACTACTTTGTAACAACCAAATAAAAAACATAAAAATAATTGTAAAACTTTAGCATGGTAGCTGATGATGATTTCAACAAATGCAACTTCCTTTTTGAGAGGGCATGGATCTTTAATAAGTAACATGGACTCTGGAAAAATACACATATGTACTTAGAGACAAAATGTTTCAAGAAGTACAAGGATCTCCAAAGTCTGTTCTTGGATGTCTTTCCCAGGTTAGAAATTCAGGCTCAGGATCAGTGGATGCAAACTAGGGTCCAGAGGATTGAATTGGACTTGGAGATGTGTTTTGTTGGCCTGCAGAGGGCCTCACAATTTGTCAATGTGAATGCCTCTAATAGGGCAAACATGTTTAGTGCACCATAATTCTGCCATACTCTGTGGTACTAATCTCAGGCAGCTTCACTTTTTTGGGCTATATGCCCAATCTCTGTAGGCCTCTGAGTTTGTGACATTGGCTTTACACACTTCAAAATCCATTCTGTGCCAGACTGGGTCTTTCCACTCTTACTCTAATAATCAAGCAGGCTTTTTTGTACTAAGGAAGCTGGCAAGATAAAAACCAAACACATTTCCCTGACTCGTGTACAGTTAGGGGTCCACATGCAATCTAGGTTTTGCCATGCAGATAAGTATGAGACTTGGGAAGTGGATTACAGTTAGATCAGGTGGCAGCCACAAGTACAAGGATCAGATTTTCTGCATGGAAGATGGCAAAAGCCTTGGTTCTTCTAGGCAGCTGTGGCAAAGATTCTAGATCTAGTCTAGAGGTTGGCAAATCAAGGCCCGTGGGTCAAACTGGGTCTACTACCTAATTTTATCAATAGAGTTCTATTGGATCAACAGTCATACCTGTCATTTGCATATTTTCTACAGCTGCTTTTGCACTACAACAGTAGAGTTGAGTAGCTGTGACGCAGACCATATGGACCATGAAGCCTACAATTTTTACACTCTGGCTCTTTACAGAAAAACTTTATTGACCCTTGGTCTCATCCCTAGATATGGAGTGGTGGGTGACAGCTGTAGTAAAGATTTTCTCATGATGTAGCTTCTCCTAGTTACAAAATATTCCTGGTTCTGCAGCATCCAAGCTTAGTTTGTCTGGTCATTCAATAAATGCTGTAGGTTACTTAATACCATGCAATCCCCTTTTCTGCTGAAAATAGCTAGAGTGGTTTCCATTGCTGCAACTAAAAACCCTGAATGTGACACAGTAACAAAAGACAAATAATTAGGATATAAAGTTAAAAAAATACTTACATTGTGTATCATCTCAAAGTATTTTTGACAGGCTACCTGGTAATGTGTCCCCTTTACTAAATCCAAAATCTAAAATGAATGAGGAAAAAGAGAAATAAAAATTAGAAATTAAGTTTTCTTCTAAACCACTGTAGCTCACAGTTGTTGGCCTTTTCATAATCTTCATTCCAGACAGGAAATGCAATAAATCATGTAGCATGTTGTACTTCTGCAGCCTGGACACTGTGATAATTCTGACATTATACAGTAGTGGTTTAGGTCAGCATTAAACCACAGATGACAAGAGATAGTGATCTTTCTGGCCTACCAACTGTACATTTTAATAACTTTACCTCAACAACAAGATGAAAATGGATCCTGGTATGATGACTTTGACAGTTATTGTCAGAACATCATATTGCAACATCTCTCCGAAAACTGTAGATAGAAATCTAGTAATCTAATGGTTGGTGCATGAAGCAATCAAGTGTACTATTTAGATATGTATTTTCCACATTAATGGTTTATACAGATACAGCATAAAATACTGCTGTGTGCCCATCAGGAAAATTTAATGTAAACCCTTTTGGACAAGTATCTGTGAAGAGGGAATGCTTTTACCTTCAGTCAGATTTGTCCTTTTTGAAATGAAGTTATTTCTAGCAAAGCTCAGCAGAATATGAGAGTGAATAGCCTATTCTGAACACCTATTAGGAACATCATCCTATCTTTCGTAAATACAATTTGCTTTCCAATTCTACTTCATGTAATCTCTTCAGAGCGGTGCAAACTCCCATCCTTATCAGCAGACTGCAATGCCAGTTGAAATTTGTAAAGTTTCATTGCTTCCCCCAAGCCCTCAAATAAATAAAACACATATTTGGCCTATTTATCAAATGCAGTAAAATGCTGGAATTAAGAGATAACCTCAAATGAATGGAAACATAATTCTGGAGAAATGTTAATTTCTATTCCTCTTTTATTTTTTAAAAGGCTGATCTTCCTGTCACAAAAAGAAATGAACATGGGGTCTCAAATTCTTGCTATCTTCATTATTGAGTATAGCTTAATGTCATTTGACAGATACACAAAAAAAATTACAGTTACAGGACAGGCATTATACAATACTGACAAGAATGTGCTTCAAAAATTGTTTTTCTCTGATTGTCTTATAGATTACATTTCTGAATTTCGTGTCACCTTTTATTTAATCATATATGAAAGACCTGTGTAAATTCCAGCCAACCACAGAGGCCAGGTTTCTGCCAGTCTGCCTATCTGGCCTGTCTACTTTTCTTGAATTATTAGAGCAAAATATGAAAAATCAGTTTGAAATGAGACTTTCTTCATTTTTAAATTTATTCTGCAAGTTTTCCAAGTAACGCTAACACTGAGTTCATGTTGTCTGATGCTCTTCACAAAGATTTTCAAATTGTGATGAGATAAACTTGCAAATAATTACTGACAAACATCTATAATCATATATTAATATCTGAGTTAGAATTTTGGAGAAGTAAAGACTTCAAACATAAATTTAAGCTTTAGATGATCCCATAAATTACCTGAAGAGGAAATGGATTCACAGAAATAAAAAAGCTCAACCATATAAAAAGTAAATATGTAACATGATATACATACATACATACAATCTAGTATGTATATGTTTGGGAAACGTGCTATAAAGAAATAATAAATCATATTAATAAAAAATTTATTTGGGTAATCCACACGTGTAAAAAACTTACTAAAGAAAACTGACATAAAAGCCACAGAATGTGAGAAAAACAGATGTATTGCAAATTTTAGGTTCAATTTTTAGGGTCCATAAAAAATTAAATTTAAATTAATCACACTACAATCTTCCCCTGACCTGACCCAACTCGCAGAGAGGGCTCTTCCTAAACAAAAATAATTTACTTTTATTTTTGTTTTATTTTATTAGGATGAATTTTTATTTAAAATCTGCTTGAAATCTATAAACAAGTCATTCAACTATGATCAGGATAGCTTAAAGAACTTTAATCATGTCCCAGCATATTTAAGATAAGTGAAGGTTTCTATAAATAAGTAAAGGTGTGATGAGAAAAAAAGGCAATAGAGGTTTTTGAGGTAAACAAGTATTATTGGTAGATACTTTTATCTTCACTTCAGAAATGAGGAAATATATTAAAATTGGAGTATCTGTCTCCTGAGGGTGAGGGCCATTAACCGCAGAAAGAATTTTAAAAATCACATACAAATTAATAATCTTTCTTTTAAAGGAAGATAACTTACATGCTTTTAAAATTAAGGTAGAAAATATAAAACATTACTCCAAAAAATCCAACTAATGAATATATAGTTTCATTTCAGATTATGATCTATATTACAGAGATATAGGAAAAGAAAAGATGGACCAAGGAATGAAGTTTGACTTTTTCTCTGAGTAAAATGGGGAGATAATACAATATTCTATGTGCAGGACTAAAGTGAACTGACATTTACAGAGGGTTCATTTTTGCCTGCTGTGCTGGGAACAGATTGGAAAGGACAGAGGTAGAAACAGGGAGCTCATTACACGAATTCAGGGAATAGATGGTAGATCCATGGACCACGGTGGCAATATCAGTGGCGATGGTAAGTGGTCAGATTTGGAGACAGGAGCATTTCCCACTTAATGGCTATAAAATATTTCTAAAATCAGATGTTCTCCATGAAAACACTCAAGAGGAACCTGTCCTCCAATGTCTTAAAATAATGCATGAGCTACCACTCAACCCCTTCCCCTGCCAACTGATTTCCTAAATAACTAGTTCTAAAACTCGGGAAAATGCCAATATGAAAAACAAACCTATCATATAAAATAAATGTAAAATACCCAAAATATCACGTAGTAGCCACTAAACAATATGATTAACAAACAGATATTTTCTGTGTAGAAACAGGAGTATGATACCTCTTGTCTCTTAGAGTTAGGACTTCTTAGATGCACACTTTGCTGACGTCAAAATCTTCCCAAGTGATTCTGATGTTCTAGAATTTGTATATGGACTGCAACCTGAGACTTCTTCTGCACTTTGTTTTGTTAAATTTTTCCAATATGAACATCACCACTAAGCACTGTATTAAGATATTCTGCAGGTCACTCTATTTTGATGTTGATACTAATATAACTTGCTGAGGGGGTTTGATGACTCCAAGGCAGGAAATACAAACTAAAAATCAGGTGAAGGAAATGAAGCATTAAGGTATGACCAAGACACTAAAATTCAACTTATGATATAGGATCAAAATTAAAAACCTGGCAAACACCAAAATCCAAGAACAGATGCCTAAGGTACACTGCGTGAAACAGAACTTAGGGTCAAATTTCCACAAGATACTTATACACCATGGAGTACTATGCAGCCACAAAAAAAGAACAAAATCATGTCCTTTATGGCAACACAGATGCAGCTGAAGGCCATTATCCTAAGCAAATTAATGCAGAAAGAAAATCAAATACCACATGTTCTCACTTAAAGTGGGAGCTAAACATTGGTTATACATGGACACAAAAAAGGCAACAATAAACACTGGGGATTCTAAAACTGGGGGGAGGGAGACAAGAGTTGAAAAACTACCTATCAGGTACTATGTTCACTACTTGGGCAATGGGATCATTAGAAGCCCAAGCCTCAGCATCATGCAATATACCCATATAATAAACCTGCACATGTGCCCCCCTGAATCTAAAATAAAAATTTTAAAAAACGTATTAAAAAACTGAAATACTCCACAAAGTAATGAAGGTGTTGTTAGGCAAGAGTACTTTTTGCCTGTGTTTGTTTCTGCAGCATAGCTTCTGAAAGCCCAGACCTCCATCCTCACAAGCTGGTCTTGGCTCCTAAAAAGATAGCTTCCCAAGATGGCAGGCCAGGACTGCCCAGAGTGAGGGTCAGAAATAGAATAGGTCAGGAAAACACATACTACATAGAGGTGGAAACCCATCAAGAGGAAGAAATATAATGAAGAGACAAAAAACAAGAATAGGAAGAAAAATGTGGAAAGCCAGAGAAATGGGATAAGTAAATGGAGTCCATGGCTTGCTATTTATGTGGTTTGCAAGCATCAAAGTCTAACCCACAGCTCACAAAAGATGTTTCAATGAGCATTGACAGTAACTCTCCAGTTTTCATGTTCCATTCTGAAAGAACCAGAGCACCTTATGAGGTCCTCTTGCATATTGCAATAATACCAAAGAACAGTTTTCCAAAGGTCAGAGGAAACCAAATCAAGGGTCCATTCTGATGGTGGGGCCAGAAGTTTCCTAAATCTGTTTTAGAAAAATATCAAACAATTTGAACAATCATATCAAAGACATTTAAAAACACAATTTTTATTTGAAGAAAAAACTCATATAAAGATCTAAGAATATTATACAAATGGCAATATGACTTAGTTTTTAATGCCAGTATTTCCAGATAAAGTACAAAATGTCAAGTGTAACAATCCACTTACTGTTCTAATCCAGTTCATCAGTAATCAAAAGGCTAAGAAAAAGTGAGTAGTGGATGGGCACGGTGGCTCACGCCTGTAATCCCAGCACTTTGGGAGTCCAAGGCAGGTGGATCATGAGGTCAGGAGTTCAAGACCAGCCTGGCCAACATGGGGAAACCCCATGTCTACTAAAAATGCAAAAATTAGCTGGGTGTGGTGGTGCGTGTCTGTAATCCCAGCTACTCAGGAGGCTGAGGCAGGAGAATCGCTTGAACCCAGGATGTGGAGGTTACAGTGAGCCAAGATTGCAACACTACACTCCAGCCTGAGTGACAGAGCAAGACTGTCTCAGAAAAAAACAAAACAAAGAAAGAAAAAGTGAGTTCCATTGATCTATATCTCTGTTTTGCTACCAGTACCATGCTGTTTTGGTTACTGTAGCCTTGTAGTATAGTTTGAAGTCAGGTAGTGTGATGCCTCCAGCTTTGTTCTTTTGGCTTAGGATTGACTTGGTGATGCGGGCTCTTTTTTGGTTCCATATGAACTTTAAAGTAGTTTTTTCCAATTCTGTGAAGAAAGTCATTGGTAGCTTGATGGGGATGGCATTGAATCTGTAAATTACCTTGGGCAGTATGGCCATTTTCACGATATTGATTCTTCCTACCCACGAGCATGGAATGTTCTTCCATTTGTTTGTATCCTCTTTTATTTCCTTGAGCAGTGGTTTGTAGTTCTCCTTGAAGAGGTCCTTCACATCCCTTGTAAGTTGGATTCCTAGGTATTTTATTCTCTTTGAAGCAATTGTGAATGGGAGTTCACTCATGATTTGGCTCTCTGTTTGTCTGTTGTTGGTGTATAAGAATGCTTGTGATTTTTGTACATTGATTTTGTATCCTGAGACTTTGCTGAAGTTGCTTATCAGCTTAAGGAGATTTTGGGCTGAGACAATGGGGTTTTCTAGATAAACAATCATGTCGTCTGCAAACAGGGACAATTTGACTTCCTCTTTTCCTAACTGAATACCCTTTATTTCCTTCTCCTGCCTGATTGCCCCGGCCAGAACTACCAACACTGTGTGGAATAGGAGTGGTGAGAGAGGGCATCCCTGTCTTGTGCCAGTTTTCAAAGGGAATGCTTCCAGTTTTTGCCCATTCAGTATGATATTGGCTGTGGGTTTGTCATAGATAGCTCTTATGATTTTGAAATACGTCCCATCAATACCTAATTTCTTGAGAGTTTTTAGCATGAAGGGTTGTTGAATTTTGTCAAAGGCTTTTTCTGCATCTATTGAGATAATCATGTGGTTTTTGTCTTTGGCTCTGTTTATATGCTGGATTACATTTATTGATTTGCATATATTGAACCAGCCTTGCATCCCAGGGATGAAGCCCACTTGATCATGGTGGATAAGCTTTTTGATGTGCTGCTGGATTCGGTTTGCCAGTATTTTATTGAGGATTTTTGCATCAATGTTCATCAAGGTAATGTGTCTAAAATTCTCTTTTTTGGTTGTGTCTCTGCCCAGCTTTGGTATCAGAATGATGCTGGCCTCATAAAATGAGTTAGGGAGGATTCCCTCTTTTTCTATTGATTGGAGAGCCCTCAGAAATAACGCCGCATACCTACAATTATCTGATCTTTGACAAACCTGAGAAAAACAAGCAATGGGGAAAGGATTCCCTATTTAATAAATGGTGCTGGGAAAACTGGCTAGCCATATGTAGAAAGCTGAAACTGGATCCCTTCCTTACACCTTATACAAAAATCAATTCAAGATGGATTAAAGATTTAAACGTTAGACCTAAAACCATAAAAATCCTAGAAGAAAACCTAGGCATTACCATTCAGGACATAGGCGTGGGCAAGGACTTCATGTCCAAAACACCAAAAGCAATGGCAACAAAAGACAAAATTGACAAATGGGATCTAATTAAACTAAAGAGCTTCTGCACAGCAAAAGAATCTACCATCAGAGTGAACAGGCAACCTAAAACATGGGAGAAAATTTTTGCAACCTACTCATCTGACAAAGGGCTAATATCCAGAATCTACAATGAACTCAAACAAATTTACAAGAAAAAAACAAACAACCCCATCAAAAAGTGGGCGAAGGACATGAACAGACACTTCTCAAAAGAAGACATTTATGCAGCCAAAAAATACATGAAAAAATGCTCATCATCACTGGCCATCAGAGAAATGCAAATCAAAACCACTATGAGATATCATCTCACACCAGTTAGAATGGCAATCATTAAAAAGTCAGGAAACAACAGGTGCTGGAGAGGATGTGGAGAAATAGGAACACTCTTACACTGTTGGTGGGACTGTAAACTAGTTCAACCATTGTGGAAGTCAGTGTGGCGATTCCTCAGGGATCTAGAACTAGAAATACCATTTGATCCAGCCATCCCATTACTGGGTATATACCCAAATGACTATAAATCATGCTGCTATAAAGACACATGCACACGTATGTTTATTGCGGCATTATTCACAATAGCAAAGACTTGGAACCAACCCAAATGTCCAACAATGATAGACTGGATTAAGAAAATGTCTCACATATACACCATGGAATACTATGCAGCCATAAAAAATGATGAGTTCATGTCCTTTGTAGGGACATGGATGAAATTGGAAACCATCATTCTCAGTAAACTATCGCAAGAACAAAAAACCAAACACTGCATATTCTCACTCATAGGTGGGAACTGAACAATGAGATCACATGGGCACAGGAAGGGGAATATCACACTCTGGGGACTGTGGTGGGGTGGGAGGAGGGGGGAGGGATAGCATTGGGAGATATACCTAATGCTAGATGACGAGTTAGTGGGTGCAGCGCACCAGCATGGCACATGTATACATATGTAACTAACCTGCACAATGTGCACATGTACCCTAAAACTTAAAGTATTAAAAAAAAAAAAAAACCCCAAAAAAAAAAAAAAAAAAGATTTGTCCCATTTACAACTATGATGATTAAGGGAGCTAATGTTTGTATAAATGCTTAAGTACAATAGAACCATAATTTATTGTAAAATTACATAATAAAGATAATGAGGTCCCTGAATGTGAAAAGAAAAAAAAGAAAGAAAGAAAAAGTGAGTAGTAGTGACATCAAACTACCATATTTTGGTAATTCGTATTTTTAAACTCTATATATTTTTAAACTTTTTTTTTTTTTTTTTTTTTTTCTGGAGACAGAGTCTCACTCTGTCACCCAGGCTAGAGGGCAGTGGTGCAATCTCGGCTCACTACAACCTCCACCTCCCGGGTTCAAGTGATTCTCCTGCCTCAGCTCTCAAGTAGCCAGGATTAGAGATGCACACCATAACACCCAGCTAATTTTTGAATTTTTAATAGAGATGGGGTTTTGCCATGTTGGCCAGACTGTTCTTAAACTCCTGGCCTCAAGCAACCTACCAGCCTCGGTCTCCAAAAGTGCTAGGATTAGAGTTGTGAGCCACCATGCCTGGCCTCTCTTTATTTTTAACTATTCTCTATCAGTTGAATAAAGTCCACCAGTAAGAATATTACGGATTTTAAAAATAGGCTGAGTGTGGTGGCTCACACCTGTAATCCCAGCACTTTGGGAGGCCAGGGCAGGTGGATTGCTTAAGTCCAGGAGTTCAAGACCAGCCTAGGCAACACGGAGAAACCCTGTCTCTAATAAAAATATGAAAAATTAGCCAGGCATGGTGGCACATGCCTGTAGTCCCAGCTACTTGGGGGGTTGAGGCGGGAGCTTCGCTTGAGTAGGGGAGGTCGAGGCTGCAGTGAGTCCTGACCATGCCACTGCACTCCAGCCTGGGTGACAGAATGAGACACTGTCTTAAAAAAAAAAAAAAAAAAAAAAGCAATGCAGTTTTCATCTTCACAAAAAGTTCATATTTGTATTTGCTAAGTTTGCTAAAAGCATTAATTATACTTCATCTACTATTTCATCCTCAAGATGAATTACTGATTTTTTTTTTCTGTAAGAGAATTCTAGTAAAGCACCTCACCAAAGACATCTTTGCAGTTGAGGAGCAAAAAGCAAATAAGGTGATATTTTTCTGATTTAATCAGTGATGGAACATAGATGATACAGAACACTGGTGGGAAATGCTATAGGTATGTCTATTTATAACACACACATATACAAAAATAGAACTCTCCTCTTTTTATACACACACAACATTTTATAACTTTGAGCCACACTTCCTCCCTCTTGCTAATTCTCTTAATATTTCTAGCCAGCTGCAAATTCCTCTCTCTCTTTTGCTTCAATGCCTGCCAACGAGGTTCAGATGATTACCTGGCAGCAGAATGCAGCCACCTGCCCATCTTTGGCTTTGGTGAGCAGAGCGCTGTACAGCTAGGTACGCTGCACTCACCAATTAGATATGTGGCTAATCTAATTCAAGGTCAAGTTTTGTCTTATTTGAAAGTGATAACAAGCTTGCTTCTTCCTAAAAAACTCAATCTTTCAAAACTAGACTGGGCTGATATTTTTCCACTCCATTTCTAACCTTCCCATATTTCAAAGGTGAAAGAAAAATGTGGTGGAGATGCCAAGTCTTGCACATTTTTGAACATACGACTTTGCTCCCATTTCTCACACACTCAGCACAGCTTAGCCTGCTGCTGCCTTGCTGTGACCTTCACTTACTGGCAGATCAGGGCCAAGTTTCCCTCTCTTGAAGATGTACTTTCATTTCTTTAAAACATTATATGTCAAGAATTTTTCTGACTCTTTATTATCTATAAACAAAGTTATCTGAGTCAATTCTACCTCCAAATGTCATTAAAATCTACCCTTTTCTCTCCATTTTTGAAGTCTTTATCATTCTCTTTTTTATTGGAAAGCTTCTTGATTTATACTTTCTTCACTCAAGATAGCTGCCACATTGCCACAAGAGTACCTTTTCTAAAGGCCAAATCTAATCCTGGCATGGCTGGGGCACAAACTTTTCATCATGATTCAAAGGCTCCTACCCTGTCCTACCTGGCCACTGGATCCTCATACTCTGGTCCAGCTTCTCCTGCAATGTGCTCTTTGGAACTTTAGCTCACAAAATCCTAGTGATGATCGGGGGTTTTCTTGTCTAATAACTTGTTTAACTGGCTTTAATCCACAATTACCTAAGTTTCTTCACGGCAGAACTTAATAGGGTAACGTTTCTCAAACTAATTTGTCCCCAGAATCCATTTTTCATAGATCTCTCAGGACTAGGGTTCCTCAAAACACACCAAACAACCTTATTTAAATTAATAGAGTCACCTCCACAAGTCTCATTCTTCTCTCTTATCCTGCCATAGTTTTATTTCACTACACTTACTTGTTTATCTGCGATATATGGTTTGGCTCTATCCTCACCCAAATCTCATCTTGAACTGTAGCTCCCATAATTCCCACATGTCATGGGAGGGACCTGGTGGGAGATAATTGAATCATGTGGGCAGTTTCCCCCATACTGTTCGCGTGGTAGTGAGTAAGTCTCACGAGATCTGATGATGGTTTTGTAGGGGAAACCCCTTTCACTTGGATCTCATTGTCTCTCTTGTCTGCTGCTATGTAAGACGTGCCTCTCACCTTCCACCATGATTGTGAGGGCTCCTATGCCACATGGAACTGTGAGTCCATTAAACCTTTTTTTCCTTATAAAGTACCAAGTCTTGGGCATGTCTTTATCAGCAGCATGAAAACAGACTAATACAGTCTGTCTCCCCACTGGAATATCAGCTCCATGAAGGTAGAAGTCTCACTAGTTTTAGTCATCATTATATTCCCAATGTCTTGAACAGTAAATGGAATACAATCCTCACGCAATTATTATTTGTTGATGTTGAATGAATGCTGCTCCTTTTGCCTAATCTGCCTTACATCAGGCACAGGGGAAACTCCTACTCAACTTTCAAACCCAATTAAAATGTCACTTCTTATATGAAGCATTCTCTTCTGCTCCCTCTTCAACAGAAGATCTTTCCCCTCTGGCACTTTGAATATATTTTTATAAAAGCATTTAGCATACTTTATAATAGTTAATTATTAAAGCACTTATCATACTCTATTGTAGTTAGGTACCAATAAAAGGATTGTTGAGAAGCAATTTAAACTGCTACCCAAAATACTGATTTTCTTAGTGCACATTAATACCAACATTTTGGATTAAAGAATTTAAGCTCTTAGGGAACATTAACAACTAAGTAAACTTAGAAAGCAAGGAGGGAAGGAAAGAGAAGGAAGAAGAGAGGAAAGATAATGAGGGGGAAGGTAGGACAAACGAGAAGACACATGTAAAGCCTGCTTAGAGATACGGAGAAATGTATTGTCAAACCTCAGTTCCATGGTTCAGTTACTAATTATTACTGTGCTTTGAGTATTCTATTTTTTGGCCTAATATAAAAGCAAGCCAATTCAGAATCACTATGCTCTATGATCTTTATGAAAATAATGAAAGATATTTATACTGATTATATAATTACTTTAGAAGATTATGCTTATTAAAAGATGTATCATGTACTGATTTAATAATTACTTTAGATTGTTTATTAAAAGATGTATCATATCTCCTGGATATGCTATTGAAAACAGAAGCTAATGTTAAAATCTGTCACTTAAGAATTAAGAAGTAAAAATAATCATATAAATTCAGAGATAGAAACTTTAACAAGAAATACATTGCAAATTGATGGTAAACACCACCAAGAAGAATGAAATGACTTAAAGCTACCCAGTCTAAAAATCTAAACTACTTGCTTTATGAAATAAATTTACTTAACCTTCTGGGTACCTTAAGCTTACTTCTTCAAAAGAAGCTGGGATGCCTCTGGGAGTATACTCTATAAAACTGATCAAGAAATAGAACTAAGTTAGAATAGTTTTATGACTATAGGTAGTTAGGTTTGACTTTACAAAAATATCCTAAGTGACAGTATCATATGTGACTGAATAAAATTCTTCCATAGGTATCAGTAGTTTTTCATGTAATGAATACATAATAAATATAGAAAGATGTGTAACTATATGAACAGAGTATTAAATTTTAAGAAAGGATGTTTTCCATTTGAATGCAATTTTAATGAATATAAGTTTTAATTAATAGGCTTAGCTAACAATGACATATGTTACTTGACTTTCAAAGTGATTTTTCTTTGAACCACCTTGAACATTAAATCTTCAAGCAACCATTTATCTTCAGCCTATAAGAAAGGAAGGATATACACAGAAATCAAGTATTAAAGCCAAAAGTACAACCATGGCCTGGTGACACCAATTCTAATGCTCAACTTCCCATCTTTTCCTTAATGCAGTTCTGAGTTTTACCAAGAACGTTACACATCTTCAACTACAACACTAAGAAAAGCAAAGCTAAGTGCAGCAATCAAACTACCGTTCTCAAAAATCAGAAGAGATACTCCTGAAGACGAAATAGATACAAAAGCTCCCCTTAAAAGCAGTTACTTTCCATAAAGTAATAGACAGCCTGAATACTATCATCCACTGGTAAGTCCCCCTTACCTAAGAAAATCATAGGAGTTTTTAGGTAGCTCAGATTTTTAGGAACATTAAATAAAGAGTCATTGAAATTTATCTTTATCATAAAAACTTCTTGACAAAGAGTTACTTTTAAGTCTTTTAAACTGTCCCCTTTGAAAGATTTCTTCATTAAAAGGCATTTGCCAGTTTTAGATTTAATATAGTCACTAACTTCTTGAGAATTTTTGACTGTGAAAAACAGAGGTTAACCAACCTCTCAAAAAGCAATAAGAGCATACATTTTTTCATATTTCATGGCTTTAATTCACTCTTAAGTTTCTTAGAAGCACCAATTAGATTTGTTTTAAAAATCATTAATAGTTGAGTGAAAATTCTAAAACACATTTCCTTCCTCTATTAAAAAAACTAAAATGAGAAATAAAAAGACAGTTTTAAAAACATTAGTGCAGAAATACATTTGTAAATAATGTATCATTTCAATCAAAATCTTGAAAAATGAATAGCCTTATGTATACTTACTTATGGGCCAACATGTAAAAGTAAGTATTGGTTGTAATAGGTCTAACACAATTGTACAGCAGAAGCAAACATTAAAATACACTGTAGAAACAGAACCTAATCACTCGAATACTCAACATTCTCAAGTGCTCGACACTTAAAGCAGTGCTCTCAACAGAAATATGACATATCTGTAATTTTAGATTTTCTATAACCACAATTAAAACAGTAAAAATAAGCAATTATTTTCAGTAATATATTTTATTCAAAGCAATATATCTAAAATATTGTCATTTCAAAATGTAATCAATATAAAACATTACTGAGATATTTTGTAATGCTTTTTTTTGATACTATTATTACTCTGTGAAACTTGGTGTACATTTTACTATAGCCAGTGGTATACTGGAGCTAACACAAACTGGCTGTAATCCCAGCTACTTGGGAGGCTTAGGCAGGAAAATTGCTTGAACCCAGGAGGCAGAGGTTGCAGTGAGCTGAGACCGTGCCACTGCACTCCAGCCTGGGTGACAGAGTGAGACTCCATCTCAAAAAAGAAAGAAAGAAAACAAAAATGTCAACCAAGATTCATAAGGAAAAAGTAAGACATTCCCAGATAAACAAATGCTGAGGGAGTCTGTTGTTAGTAGACCTGCCCAACAAGAAATGCTAGAGTAAATCCTTCAGGCAGAAAGAAAAGATCACTACAAAGTAACTCAAAGCCATTCAAAAAGAATGAACACGAGCTAAGGTAACTATATAGGTATTAAAAATCCAGTATTATTGTGTTTTTGATTTGTAACTCTTCTTTTTTCTCAAATGATTTAAAAGACGATGCATAAAACAGTAATTATAAGTTAATGGGCACACAATGTATGAAGATGTAACTTGTGACAACAATATAAGGGGGAGGGACAGAGCTATACAGAAGTGGAGTTTTGGTATATAATAGATGCTAAGTTGATATTAAAAATTGTTATACATATAAAAGGTTACAGTCTCCAGGATAACGACTAAGCAAATAATGAGAAAAAAATACATCAAAAAAAAAAAGTGATGGGAATAAAAATGGTACTATGGTACTGTGGTCTGAATGTGTCCCCTCCAAAGTTCAGGTGCTGCAAATCTGCTAGTATTAAGAGGTGGAACCTTTAAGACATGATGAGGCCATGAGGGCTCATTCCTCATTAATAGAACTAAGGCCCTTATAAAGAAAAAAAGCAGCAGCAGCTTCAGATGGCATTTGGCTAGCTTGTTCTCTTGTCCTTCTGCAATGTGAAGATTGAACAAGAAAGTCTTCATCAGATCAGAAATAGGCTCCTCAACCTTGGACTTCTCAGCCTCTATAACTGTGAGAAATAAATTTCTTTCATTTATAAATTAGCTGGTCTGTGGTATCCTGTTACAGCAGCACAAAACAGACTAAGTACACTACCAAAAAAAAATTTAATGCAAAAGAAGGTACTAATGGAGAAACTGAGGGACAAAAAAGACATGACATCATTGAAAGCAGTGAGCAAAATGCCTGGCATGGCAGCTCCTGCCTGTAATGCTGTTGCTTTAAAGTTTGTTTCATCTGATATAAGAACAGCTACCCCTGCTTGCTTTCAGTGTCCATTTGCATGAAATGCCTTTTTCCACACCTTTACTTTAAGTTTATGTGAGTCCTTATGTGTTAGGTTAGTCTCCTGAAGGCAGCAGATTGTTGGTTGATGAGTTCTTATGCATTCTGCAGTTCTGTACCTTTTAAGTGGAGCATTTAGGCCATTTACATTCAATGTTAGTATTGAAATGTGAGGTACCTTTGCATTCATCATGCTCTTGGTTGCCTGCATACTTTGGTTTTTTGTTTTTGTTTTTTAACTTGTATTTTTATTTTACAGGTCCTGTGAGATTTATGCTTTAAAGATATTCTGTTTTGATGTGTTTCCTGGATTTGTTTCAAGATTTAGAGCTCCTTTTAGCAGTTCTTCTAGTGGTGGCTTAGTAATGTCGAATTCTCTCAGCATTTGTTTGTCTGAAAACGACTGTTATCTTTCCTTCATATGTGGTGCTTAGTTTCACTGGATACAAAATTCTTGGCTGATGTTTGTTTTGTTTGAGGAGGCTGTAGATAGGGCCCTAATCCCTTCTAGCTTGTAGGGTTTCTGCTGAGAAATCTGTTGTTAATCTGTTAGGTTTTCCTTTATAGGTTACCTGGTGCTTCTGTCTCACAGCTCTTAAGATTCGTTCTTTCATCTCAACTTTGGATAACCTGATGACAATGTGCCTAGGCGAAGATCTTTTTGTAATGAATTTCTTGGGTGTTCTTTGTTTTTTTTTTTTGATGGAGTCTCACTCTGTCACCCAAGTTGGAGTGTAGTGGCATGATCTTGGCTCACTGCAACCTCAGCCTCCCAGGTTCAAGTGATTCTCCTGCCTCAGCCTCCCAAGTAGCTGGGACTACCGGTGTGTGCCACCACGCCCAGCTAATTTTTTGCATTTTTAGTAGAGATGGGGTTTCACTGTGTTAGCCAGAATGGTCTCAATCTCCTGACCTCATGATCCACCTGCCTCAGCCTCCCAAAGTGCTGGGATTACAGGTGTGAGCCACCGCACCTGGCCCTGTGCTTCTTATATTTGCATGTCTAGGTCTCTAGCAAGGCTGGGGAAGTTTTCCTCAATTATTCCCCCAAATATGTTTTCCAAGCTTTTAGAATTATCTTCTTCCTCAGGAATACCAATTATTCTTAGGTTTGGTAGTTTAACATAATCTCAAACTTCTTAGGGGCTTTGTTCATATTTTCTTATTCTTTTTTCTTTGTCTTTGTTGGATTGGGTTAATTCGAACACCTTGTCTTCAAGCTCTGAATTTCTTTCTTCTACTTGTTCAATTCTATTGCTGAGACTTTCCAGAGCATTTTGCATTTCTAAAAGTGTATCCAAAGTTTCCTGAATTTTGTATTGTTTTTTCTTTTAGCTATCTATTTCATTGAATCTTTCTCTCTTCACTTCCTGTGTCACTTTTTGAATTTCCTTGCACTGGGCTTTGCCTTTCCCTGGTTCTCCCTGATTAGCTTAATAACTAACCTATCGAATTCCTTTTTCAGTTATATCAGGGATTTCTTCTTGGTTTGGATCAATTGCTGGTGAACTAGTATGATTTTTAGGGGGTGTTGATGAGCCTTGTTTTGTCATTTTACCAGGGGTGGTTTTCTGGTTCCATCACGTTTGGGTAGGCTCTGTCAGAGGGAAGGTCTAGGGCTGAATGCTGTTGTTCAGATTCTAGTGCACAGGGTGTTCCCTTGATGTAGTACTCTCCATTTTTCCTGTGGTTGTGGCTTTCTGTGAGCCGAACTGCAATGATTGTTGTCTCTCTTCTGGGTTTAACCATCCAGTGAGTCTACCTGGCACCATGCTAGTACTGGGGGTTTCTGCACAGTCCTGTGATGTGAACCATCTATGGGTCTCTCAACCATGGATACCAGCGCCTGTTCCGTTGGAGGCGGCAGAAGGTGCAATGAACTCTATGACGGTTCTTAGTTTTGGTTATTTAATGTTCTATTTTTGTGCTGGTTGGCCTCCTGCCAAGAGGTGGCGCTTTCCAGAGAGCATCAGCAGTAGCAGTGCAGAGGGATCAGCAGTGGGTGGGGCCCTAGAATTCCCAAGATTATATGTCCTTTGTCTTCTGCTACCTGGGTGGGTAGGGAAGGACTGTCAGGTGGGGGGCGGGGCTAGGCATGTCTGAGCTCAGACTCTCCTTGGGTGGGTCTTGCTGCGGCTGCTGTGGGGGACGGGGTGAGATTCCCAGGTCACTGGAGTTGTGCACCTAGGAGGATTATGGCTGCCTCTGCTGAGTCATGCAGGTTGTCAAGGAAGTGAGGGAAAGCCAGCAGTCACAGGCCTCACCCAGCTCCCATGCAAACTGAAGGGTTGATCTCACTCCCACCATGCCCCCCACAACAGCCCCAGATCTGTTTCCAGGTGGAAGGTGGGCTTGAAAACTTGCCCGAGGCTTTCACCTCCCAGAGTATTTGGGGTGTCTCCTGGGTCCTGCAGGAGCAGTCCACTTCCTTCAGAGAGTCTGAGGGTCCTCTCAGGATTGCTGGTTTGTTCTTGCAGTCGATCTGGAGCTAAAATTCACAATTTAAGCCTCCACATGCTGCTCTGTCAGGAGTTGCAATCTAGTCCTGCCTCCCATCTGCCATGATCCCTCTTTATACACAATCTACAGATTCAATGCAATCCGTATCAAAGTTCTAATGGCTGTTTTTGCAGAAATAAAAAAGTTGATCCTCAAATTCATATGGAATTGCAAGGAGCTCCAGATAGCCAAAATAATATTGAAAAAGAACAAAATTGGAAGATTCCATGCTTCCTGATTTCAAAACTCAATACAAGGTACAGAAATCAAAACAGTGTGGTACTGGCTGGCATAAGGACAGACATATAGACCAATACAGTAGAAATTGAGATTCCAGAAATTATCCCATACATCTATGTCCAATTGAGTTTTGACAAGGGTGCAAGACCATCAATGGGGAAATTGTCTCTTCAAGAAATAGTGTTAGAAAACTGGATATTCACAAGCAAAAGAATGAAGATAAACCCCTACATCATACCATCTACAAAAATTAATTCAAAAGGGACCAATGACCTAAATATAAAAGCTAGAGCTATAATACTTTTATACAAGGCCATAGATGTCAATATTCACAACCTTGAATTTGAATATAGATAATTATGACACTAAAAGTACAAGTAACAAAAGAAAACAAAGTTCATCAAAATTAAAATCTTTTGTCCACCGATAGACATTAAGAAGTTGTTGACAAGAAAATCTACAGAATAGGAGAACATATTTGCAAATCATGTATCTATCTGATAAGAGTCTTGTATCCAAAATATATTAAGAACTCTTAAACTCAACAAAAAGACAACCCAATTCAAAAATAGACAAAGGAATTGGATAGACATTTCTTCAAAGAAGATGTACAAATGGCCAAAAAGCATATAAAAAGATGTTCAACATCATTATTCATTAGAAAAATGCAAATCAAAACCACAATGAGATATCACTGCATACTTAAAAGGATGGTGTTATGAAATGAATTGTGTCCCTCAAATAAAGATATGTTGAAGTCCTAACTCCCACTACTTAAAAATGTGATCTTATTTGGAAATAGGGTATTTACAGAGGTAATCAAAATGAGGTCATTAAGGTAAGCCCTAATCCAATATTACTGGTGTCCTCCTAAAAAGAGGAAACTAGACAAAGAATGCACAGAGCAAAGATGGTGAGAAGACGTACAGGGAGGAAGCCATGTGAAAATAAAGATAGAGTTTGGAGTGATGCATCTACAAGTCAAAGATTGCCAACAAACCACCAGAAGCTGGGGAAAACGTGGGAACAGATTCTCCCTCACAGCTCTCAGAAGGAACTAACCTGCCAGCACCTTGACTGCTGGCTTCCAAAACTGTGAGATAAATTTTTAAAGTCACCCAGTTGGTGGAAACAACCCGGTGTCCATCAAAGGACGAATGGATAAACAAAATGTGGTACAGACATACAATGGAGTATCATTCAGCCATTCAAAAGAACAAAACACAAATGAACTTTGTAAAAATGCTATATGAAGTAAGCCAGACAGTGTATGATGCTATTTTATGAAATATTCAGAATAGGTAAATCCACAGAAATAGAAAGCAGATTATTAGTTTCTAGGGGCAGCAGGAGGTGATTGTTTAATAGGTATGAAGTTTTCTTTGGGGGTGATGAAAAGGTTTGGAACTTGATAGAAATAGTAGTTGTAAAATATTGTGAATGTACTAAATGCACTGAATTGTACATTTTAAAATAGTTATTTGTATGTTATGTGACTTTCACCTCAATAAAAAAAGCAATCAGATCTTTTGAAAATCTGTTACCATATATAATTTACATTTTCTGAATTATTCTCATCTTTATTTCACATTTGTCAGTGTTTCAACAATGCATTATACATTTTCTTAGGTTTAGGTACATAAGAATTACCATTCACTTCACAGTGATGGCTTTCCATGAAAGAAGAAACCAAAAAGAATTTCAACTGGATTTAAAATAGAAAAATACTACAGAGAATCAGAACAATGTATTGTAAGAAACTTCAGCTTCACTGTCAGGCATAGGTGTGAATTCTGGCCTTATCATATATTAGTTCTATGGTTCTGAGCAGTTTCTTGCCTTCTCCAAACCTCAGCTTTCTCATCTATAAAATAGGGATAATGTAGTGGTGGGAATCAAATGAGATACAGTTTATTTGTGTAAAGCCTCCATCACAATGCTTTGCATAAGCAGGCCAAAAATAAAACAAACTACCATGGCTTCAAATTGTTCTATTTCCAGAGACAGATCAAGCACACCCCTCATTACTACATAATAAGAAAAAAAAACTATTAAGGAGTAATAGCATTCAGAGATTACAATAAAAGACGTTAACTTCATTGTGGCATATATTACAATGAACTACCACTTTTAGATTAGTCTGTAGGCAGCAATTATTGTTTATTTATTAAGTTCTGTGAGAACTAAGGATATGCCGCAAGTGATTCAGTATAACAAAAAGACAATTTTCCTATAAACTTTATGTATTTATTGTTTGTTAATTTTTGGAGAGATGGAGTCTTGCTGTGTCTTCCAGGATGGAGTACAGTGGCACAATTATAGCTCACTGTAACAATTACTAGGCTCAAGCAAGCTTCCTGCTTCAGCCTCCCGAACAGCTAGAACTACAGGTGTGCACCACCACAACTGTTATTTTTATTACTTTTTTAAAGGCAGGGTCTACAAGGTGGTCTCCAACGCCTGGCTTCAAGCAATCCTCTCACCTCGGCCTTCCAAAGTGCTGGGATTACAGGCGTGAGCCACTGTGGCCAGCCCCAATTTTTCTATTAAAATAGGACATAGCACACCATTATAAGCCCATGAAACAAAGTACAATTTGAAAATTTCATGTGCATCTTTCCACAATAGAAAAAACTTCTGAGAAACAAACCATTTAAGGCCAATAAGAGATTTTACTGTCAATATTTTGAACACATATTCTCAATTTTTTTTTTTTTTTTTTTTTTGGAGACAGGGTCTCACTCTGTGGCCCAGGCTGGAGTGCAGTGGCATGATCATGGCTCACTCAGTCCCCATGGGCTCAAGCAATCCAGCAATCCTCCCACCTCAGCCTCCTGCATAGCTGACACTACAGGTGCATGCCTCCATGCCTGGCTAATTTTTATATTTTTTTGTAGAGACTGGGTTTTGCCAAGTTACCCAGGCTGGTCTCGAACTCCTGGGCTCAAGCAACCCATAGGTCTTGGCTTCCCAAAGTGCTGGGATTCAGGCATGAGCCACCGCGCCCAGCTCTAAAATTTCTGTATCTCAAAATATAAATATTTCTATCATAAAATTGCAGGTTTTTAAAGGAAAAGCTGAAGTGGAAAATAAAAGCTAAAAAACAAAAGTGTTTTTAGAATAATTAGAAACTTCAGACATCTAACTTAGGCAGAAACTATTGATAATAGATACGATACCCAAACTAACAAAACATTGAAAGGATTTTTTAACTCACTGCCAATTTTGAAAAGAAATTAATGAAAGTATTGAGATTAAAATGTATACACACACACACACACACACATATATATATTTGAGACAGAGTCTCGCTCTGTTGCCCAGGCTGGAGTGCAGTGGCATGATCTCTGCTCACTGCAAGCTCCACCTCCCAGGTTCACACCATTCTCCTACCTCAGCCTCCCAAGTAGCTGGGACTACAGGCGCCCGCTAGCACGCCCGGCTAATTTTTTGTATTAGTAGAGACGGGGTTTCATCGTGTCAGCCAGGATGGTCTCGATATCCTGACCTTGTGATCTGCCCGCCTCGGCCTCCCAAAGTGCTGGGATTATAGGTGTGAGCCACCACACCCAGCCAACGTACACCAATATTTTAAGGAGAAAAAGCTGAGGTTCCAATAAGAAGTGACCAATATAGATTGTATATCTATATATTATTCACTGGTCATCAGCTATGTATTCCTGAGAAATAACTTTCCAATAGTCTTAAATTTCTGAACATTTTGCAAATAGAGGCAACAACGGCCTTTACTTCAGACCATTTTTTCAAAGATGTTCATATAATACAATGGTCTCCAACCTTTTTGGAACCAGGGACCAGTATCGTAGAAGACAATTTTTCCACGGGCCAGGGTGGAAAGGTGGTTTCAGGATGAAACTGTTCCACCTCAGATCATCAGACATTATTAGTTCGATTCTCATAAGTAGCACACAACCTAGATCCCTCGCATGCACAGTTCACAATAGGGTTCGAGCTCCTATGAGAATCTAACATGGCCACTGATCTGACAGGAGGTGGGGCTCAGGCAGTAATGCTTGCTTGCCCTGGCTCACCTCCTGCTGTTCCTAACAGGCCATGGACCAGTACCATGTAACATGGCCACTGATCTGACAGGAGGTGGAGCTCAGACAGTAATGCTTGCTTGCCCTGGCTCACCTCCTGCTGTTCCTAACAGGCCATGGACAAGTACCAGTCCGTGGCCCAGGGGTTGGGGACCTCTGATATAATGAACAGCCCTGGAAGACAATGGTTCCTTCCACTGGATTAAACAGCAGACATATGGCAGGAGAATTGCTTGAACCCAGGAGGCAGAGGTTGCAGTGAGCAGAGATCGCGCCATTGCACTCCAGCCTGGGTGACAAGAGCAAAACTCTGTCTCAAAAAAAATAATTAATTAATTAAAAATAAATTAAAAGAGTAGACATACTTACTGTCCATAATAAAAGGTTCAGATTCCCTAAATTCAGGGTTTCCCTCCTCCAACACAAGCAAGCCACTGCATGTGCAGGTAGTACCTGGCCTTCATGTTGCTCTGTGGGAAGTAGGGCTCAAGGAACAAATGCAAGAAAAGGCTGACATACTGCTATTGCTGGAATTGTCATGTCTTCTGCCAGAATCCATAGAAGTGTGGCAGCTAAGTTCTTAGCTTGCAAGTAGGGTAAAATCTCAGATCCTTCACAGTTCCTAACATGGATCAGATACTATGCTAGGTACTGGGAGCTCAGAGGGATTAGGGTTAGAATTTCATACCCAAAGACCTTGCAGTCATCTAGTACTACTGCTATTACCATCTATCCATTAGGCACACGACCATTTAACTTAAACTTCATTAATAACATTATACTTTCTTTCTAACTTTTAATCAAAGTAATGTATGTAAGGAAAAAAACTGAAGTACATTATGGCTTATTATTAAAATCAACAGTTCTCATATCACATTTCTTCCCACTGCTTGGTTAGTTTCCAAGAGGCAATTACTTTAACCATTTCCATTTTTTATTACATAAGATGTTGTCTATGTCACTCTAAATTATATGTTTATACTTTAAGTTCCTGATATAAACTTAATCCACTGCATTTTTACTATGAAAACTAAATATTTTGGCTCATTATGCTACTTACCATCTACCCTTTCTTTCTCCCCCCATTAAAAAAAGAAATTAAGTGGCTCATGTCTATAATGCCAGCACTTTGGGAGGTCAAGGTGACAGGACTGCTTGAGCCATGAGTTCAAGACCAGCCTAGGCAACACAGCAAGACCTCTATCTCTACAAAAAAGTAAAAAATTAGCTGGGCATGGTGATGTGCACCTGTAACCCCAGCTACTTAGGAGACTGAGGCAAGAGGATCACTTAGGCCCAGGAGTTCAAGGTTGCAATGAGATATGATCACACTACTGCACTCCAGCCTGCGTGACAGAGCAAGACCCTGTCTATTAAAAAAAAAAAAAAAAAAAAAGCGAAAAGAAAAAAAAGAAAAAAATTTAAGGTATAATTTCCACACAGTAAAATATATCCCCTTTTTACTCAGGGACTAAGTTTTTCCTAAAAAAGTAAAAGTTTTTAAATAAAATATATTTCCTTTTATCATAGTTCTGCAACATTTGACAAATTCACTTTTGATATTACCCTGCAATCAACACAGATCATTCCCATTACCCAAAAATATTTCCCTTGTCCTTTATAACACCTCTCCTGCTCCCAGCAATCACTCTGTACCTACAGATTTGTCATACAAATAGAATTATACACCATAGTGCTTTTGAGTCTGACTTCTTTCACTTAGTATAATGTATTTGAGAACCTTACATGTTAATGGGTGTACCAGTAATTTATTCCTTTCTATTGCCAGGTAATATTCCATTGTATGACTATACCACAATTTGTTTATCCAATCACACACTGAAGAACATCTGGGTTGTTTCTAGTTTTTGGCAATTATGAATAATGCCTACACTATAAACACTTAGGAACAGATTTTTATGTGTACTTATGCTTTTATTTCAATTCTATAAATACTAGTTACAGGTATCACTGTGTCACATAGCATGTGTAAGCTTCATTTTATAAGAAGTTGCCACACTCCTTTTCAAAGTGACTCTATGACTTGCATTTCCTCCACTATTGTATGAGACTTTCAGTCACTCTGCATCCTCACTAGCACTTAGTATTGCTTGATTTTTTTAAATTAGACCAATTCTATTTGGCATATCATGGTATTCATTGTAGTTTTAAATTTCATTTCACTAATGAGCTATATTTTTTCCTGTGCTTATATTTACCATTCACACTTTTTCTTTGGTGAACTGTCTACTCAAATGTTTTGCCCATTTAAAAAACTGTTTTCTAATTACTGAGTTTTGAGAGTTCTTTATATCTTTTGGATTCACATCTTTTATGAAATTTATGATTTGCAAATAGTTTCTTCCAGTCTGTGGCTTATCTTGTTCTCTTAAAGCTGTCTTTTGCAGAGCAAAATTTTTAATTTTGGTAAAGTCTAATTTATCACTATTTTCTTTCAGGGAACACACCAAACCCAAGCTCGTGCAGATATTCTGTTTTCTTTTGTTAAGTTTCACATTTTACAGTTACTTAGTTCTATAATCAATTTTTAAATAATTTTTATATAAGCTTGGAGGTATATGTCTAGGATTTTTGCATTTGGATATCCAATTGTTCTAGATCTACTTGTTCTAGAACTCTGGAGTTGTTCTGGAACTCCACATTACCATTTCCTTATTAAATTGCCCTGGCACCTTTGTTTAAAAATCAGTTGCCCGTATATATGTGGGTCTACTTCTGAACTCTATTCTGTCCAATTAATCTGTCTTCATCATTTCCCTAATACCACACCATCTTAATTACAATAGTTTTCAGTAAGTTTTGAAATCAGGAAATATGTGTCTCCACTTTTTCATTTTCATCAGTCTTTCATGTAAAGATCTCATGTATATTTTGGATTTCTGGTACTGCTGTATATGGTATTAGGTTGCTACAAAAGTATTTGCAGTAAAAGCCACAATTATGTTTGCAGCAAACTAATACTTTTTGAAATGTTTAATTTCCAATTGTTCACTGTAAGAAATAGAATTGATTTTTGTATATTGAGTAAGTATCCTTCCACCTACTAGTTACAGTAGCATCTTGCTAGGTTCTTTGAGATTTTTTACACTGATAATCACTTTGAGAATAGAAAAAGGTTTTCTTTCTTCTTTTCTAATCTTTTGTTTTTCTTGCTTTATTGCTCTGCTTTAAATCCTACTTTATAGGATTTCAAATTATTTACATTTGTAATGGATTTTAAAGACCTAGACTATGATCTACCTGGGTTACTATTTCATGTCTCCTGTTGCTGGGTAACATGTTCTACAGATGTTAATTAGGTAAAGTTGGTTGACAGTATTGTTCAAGGCTTCTATATCCTTCCTGACTTTCTGCCTGCTTCTTCTGTTAATTATTAAGAGGAGTGCTGAAGTCTCCAAATGTAACTGTGGATTTTTCTAGTTCTCTTTTCAGTTCTCTATTATTAATTCATGTATTTTGAAGCTATGTTGTTGGGGCATAAATATTTATAATTTTTATATCGTGTTGGTGAATTGACTGCTGTGTATTTCTCTTTTCGGGGAGGAGAGGAGAATAAATGCAGGGGTACCCATTTTCTTTGGCCATATTCTGTTGTTTAATTGCTGTTTCTTAAGCTGGATACCAAGCTCATTAATTTTCAGTGATTTTGTAACACTATTAAGGTTAATTAAAAAGGAAAATGAAATGTGATCCTGTAAGTATGCTTTATAAAAAAAATCAGCAACACCAGCTGAGTCACAATGATCTCTTTTCTGATCACCAAAATTCTGATTATTTAAAACATCTATTTCTTGGCCAGGCGTGATGGCTCACGCCTGTAATCCCAGCACTGTGGGAGGCCGAGGCAGGCGGACCACCCAAGGTCAGGAGTTTAAGACTGGCCTGGCCAACATGGTGAAACCCCATCTCTACAAAAATACAAAAATTAGCTGGACATGATGGAGGGTGCCTGTAATCCCAGCTACTTGGGATGCTGAGGTGGGAGAATCACTTGAACCCGGGAGATGGAGGTTGCAGTGAGCCGAGATTGCGCCATTGCACTCCAGCCTGGAAGACAGAGCAAGACTCTGTCTCCAAAAATTAAAAAAAAAAAAATCTATTTCCTATTGTTGAAGGTATCTTTTTCAAGTAGTTTTCTCTGAGATAAAAATAACCACATGGAGTTCTACCTTACGTACATTTTAATGATGTTTTTCTTAACTCTCATTCAATATTTTAATGTACGCTTGGAGTTTTCAAGATCTAATCTGCACTTAGGCCAACCTGCAAAATTCAACCTCATCAAAATGTTTTACATGGCATTTTCATTCATTGACTCTCTGCCCTTTAGAATACAGTCCACCAGCTGCTTCACTCTAGTGAGATCCACTCAATAAAGACATCATATAAAAGCAAGACATTATTTACAGCTTGCTGGCATGCACTATACATCTGTGTTCATCTCAGATAAAAGGTTACAATGCAGGTCTAAAGGGTAATGTGAAAATTACTAACCAGCTTCAGCTAAGTAAGGAGTATCCTTGTGGATCAAGGGCAAATGGAGAAATACAGTGGAGTCAAAAGCAAAGAGTATACAAACATGGTCATTACTATTAACTATAAACATTAATTTTCTTGAGATAATGTTAGTATATTAAGATTTTTTTTAAAGGTGATTCTTTATGACTGCTAAAAAACGCCTCTAATTTCTTCTAGATTCCCTATCACATTTGTTGGTGGTAGTTTCTAACATTTTCTATAACCAGAATATCATTCATAACCCCTTTACTCTCCAGCTGATGACCCTCCTTACTTTATTTACAAGGAAGAGTGAGACCAGTTGATACACTCCATCAACTTCCCTTTGCTGTGTCTTAACTATTTCCTCTATGTTCCCACATTGCTGAGGGGTATGACTTTCTCTGTCACCATTCTTTGGTTCAAGTACATATCGTCCTTCCTCCAATAAGTTACTTTTTCACTTGTGTCTTTGAGTTCCTATTTGCCTCTCTCTGCATACCACCATGCATACTCTAGCATCCACCTCATACCTAAATATGCCCATTCACTCTTCCAACATTTTTAAAGCACCTAACAAGTGTAACTCATTGGATTGCCATGAGACAGAAAGTTAAGTAAAAATCCAGTCCTCCTTTCGGGAAACTCACAAACTATTGGGAAAGATGAACAGGTAAACAAATAATTACAATCAAGTGTAACAAATGTTAAGAGCAAAGGCATGTACAATCCAGTCATGGTATAAAGAAAAGAGAACTTAATTCTGCTTGGTTAGAGAGATATTTTCTTTCTTTTATATCTTCATCAAGCCCACCCTCTCTGACAGTTCTTTCTTCTCCTCCTCTTTCTACAGATAGGCTCAGGTCTTAAACCCAGAAATGAACAATGATGCTTAAGCTAATACCACTATAGCATCCCCTTTACTGGCACTTTTTTTTTTTCTTGAGACAGGGTCTCACTCCATTGCCAATGCTGGAGTGCAGTGGCATGATCACGGCTCCCTGGAGGCTCAACTTCTTGGGCTCAGGTGATTCTTCTACCTCTGCCTCCTGAGTAGCTGAGGCTACAGTTGCATGCCACCACACCTGCTAATTTTTTGTAGAGACAGGTTTTTGCCATGTTGCCCAGGCTGGTCTTGAATGCCTGGGCTCAGCAATCTGCCTGCCTCAGCCTCCCTACTAAGTGCTAGCATTACAGGTACAAGCCACTGCACCTGGCCTGACACATTTTTTGGAAAGGTTATTTACTGTCTTTCATTAATTTTTTAAGCAAGTATAATCTTGCTTTTGGTTTCCACCATTTTACTGACACCTCACCAAAGTCAAAGTCAAATAATCCTCTCAGCATATCCAACCACCTTTTCTTAGTTCTCTCCATGAAAAGAAATCTCTGCTACAAGGGACTCTGTGGAACTTATTCTCTTCTCAAAATTTTCTCCTTGACTTTTGTGATACTTCACTACCCTAATGTATTTTCTCCCTCTCTCCCCATTTCTGTTCAGTCTTCATTGATCCCACCTCCTTTTAATGCTTGACAAAGAGAAGGATTAGCCAAGATTACATTTTCAAACACAGCTTTTGACACCCTACCTCTTCTCTCCCTCCAGCAAACTCATGATAATAAGCTCTAAAGTAGAGTGGAGTTCAGGGAAAAAAAAAAAATCTTAAGAGTCAGAAAGCCTGGCTTCAATTTTTGGTTCTGCCACTGACTTCCTACCTATGCACCATGGCATGTCACATCCTAGGACTCCAAAAAAGAGAAGGGCTTTCTACCTATGCTACAATTCTAACTGAAAAGACCATCAGATTTCTAGTCCTAAATTATCTAATGCCCTAAATCCACATTAATACCATTTAAATGCAGACATAATATGTTAACATAGATACACTAAGAACTTGTATTGTTTTCAAAAAGGTGATCCTTTATGATTGCTTAAAAAAAAGCCACTAATTCTTTATTTCTAGATTCCTTATCAAATATGTTAGCAGCAGTTTATAACCACTAAAATTAAGTCACTCAAACCGAAACCAACTATACTTCCTTTAAGTTACCTATTAGTATTTATGTATTGGTGCCACCATTATCCTAAGCTTGAAATCTTAATACTCCTATAGTCTTTCATTTGTGCATTCTCTCTCCCTAATTCCCAACCTTCGTGCAAGGCCTAATTCAAAGGGCATCTCTTCCATAAAGGGTTCCTTGACCTCTTCAGCTGGTTATAGTCTTTCCCTCATCAGAAGACCCAAAACAGTCTATGTGTACCTCTCATGACACTTGGTTTATGTTTTTTTTTTTTCAGACACTGGTTTTGTGGGAGCAGGATTTATATCTGATTCTTCCTTGCATACTCTATGGCACCTTGAACACTGCTTTGCTCAAAGTACTAAAAAACTGTTTAAGATTTGTTATCTGAACTTTGGACACAGAAGCAGCTGTAAAGTTGTCTAGAGTAACAATTTTCTTTAAATAAAAATAACAGTTTAAAGATGTATGATGATTTAGATGTTCTAACTCTAAAATATATAATGTTCTTCTTAAGCTAAGGAAGCAGAAGCTCTTCCCCTATTCCTTCAAAATTCCAGTCAACTTGAAAGCACACTATAGAAAATAGTCTTTGCTATGTCACAATATTAATTTTTTAAAGGTAGAGTTACTACTACTAAAAAATGTACTGTTTCACATTTGGTTTTACAATCTGAGCATTTCCATTGTTCATAAGACAAAGTATTTTGACAAACTATTTGATCTACCATCAGAAGTGTAGATTAAACACAGCAATAACTGATGCCTATCAGAACATTCAGCCAGTATGTACTACATTATCATCTGCTCAGAAAATAATTTCCCAAACTGCAATATGCTGTCATTAATTTTCAGCTTCATTAATAAGCTTCCATGCATTGCTCAAAAATTTTATTTTTAAAGATGTAGTCCCCAGTTGAGATAGTAAAACAAACTGAGGTGTGGAGGAAGGTTTCCAGCTTCCTTTATGACTAGGAAAAATAAAAATGCAGCTTAGCAGACAGAAGAACTAGAATTTCCCAAGAGTCTAAACCAGATAAGTCAAGGTTTTAACTTAATTCATCTTGAAGATAAGATGTCTGGTGTGAGGCCTGACAAGTGGTACACAGCATCACTGCAAGAACATTAAATAAAACCGACAGATCTGTCTAAGGCCTCATTACTGCAGATGCAGAGAGAAGAATATGACCTACCTGGCTTATCCCTCCAGGAGAGATCTTGTATGACTGCAACTTTTGCTTCAGCAGCTCTGGATCACTGTGACGGAATGGGCACCCTGACAACAAAAAAATAAGCCAGCACACAAACAAGGTTATTTACCCACAACTTAGTACAATACCACACTCGAGAGACCATCTAAGCTCCCCTTAATTGTCTAACAGCTTATTAATAAAAAAAGGTAATTGCCCATGGGTGCAACTGCTTTCCTCTTTTCATCTAAATGATTACTTAGCTGTATGGTTATCAGGGCACTCCAGGCTCAAGAGTTACATAAAACATTGCAGCATTCTCAGGCTAAGATGTCCATCCAACAGGAAGAGGGAAAACAGCTTTAATTATGCTCCTTGCTAACAAGCACAAATAATCACAAAATAGCTATGTAATAGTTTATTTTAAAACTTTAACAATCTTCTTATATTCTAGTCTAAAAATTATATAAAAGGCATATGAGAGAAGGAAGATAGATAAACAAAATGAAAAACATGCAAACTCTGAGAAAGAAAAAAATTCAACATCATTTTCAAACGTAAATTATATGCCTATTTCCTAAAGCGTAGAATCTATGAAAATGTAAAAGAATCATGGATGGAAATGAGATGAAAAAATAAACTATTTCATAGAAAAACAATTTATGGTGGATATGTGTCATCGTTATATTATTTCATGAAAAAAATGAAAGACCACTAGAAATATTCACATAAATAAGAATACAGAAGAATTTGAAATACAAAAGCTGTTTTAGGACAAAATCTAGAAAATTTTAGATATTTTAACAAACTGCAATGGTAAGTCAAAATGCTTATTAAAAATTTAATACAGAAAAGTCTTTTTTTTCAGTCATACAGATGATAGATTTGTAAGTTAATAATTGTGCATTTTTCACAAATTAGAAAATCTAGAGGAAATGACTAAGTTCCAGGAAACACACAACCTTCCGTGACTGAAGCAGGAAGAAAGTGAAAATCTGAACAGACCAATAATGAGGTCTGAAATTGAATCTGGAATAAAAAACCTATCAACCAGAAAAAGCCCTGGACCAGGTAGATTCACAGCCAAATTCTACCAGATGTACAAAGAAGAATCGGTACCAATCCTACCAAAACTATTCCAAAAAACTAAGGGGGGCGACTCCCCCCATTAACTCAATTTATGAAGCCAGCATCACCCTGATACCAAAATCTGGCCGAGACACAATGAAAAAAAGAAAACTTCTGGCCAATATCTCTGATGACCATAGAATCAAAAATCCTCAACAAAATACTAGCAAACTGAATCCAGCAGCACATCAAAAAGCGAATTCACCATGATCAAATAGGCTTTATTTCTGGGATGCAAGTCTGACTCAACATATGCAAATCAATAAAAGTGATTCACCACATAAACAGAATTAAAAACAAAAAACATATTATCTCAATAGAAAAAGCTTTCAATAAAATCCAATATCCTGGCCAAGCGTGGTGGCTCACGCCTGTAATCCCAGCACTTTGGAAGGCCGAGGCAGGCGGATCACGAGATCAGGAGATCAAGATCATCCTGGCTAACACGGTGAAACCCCATCTCGACTAAAAATACAAAAAATTAGCTGGGCATGGCGGCAGGCACCTGTAGTCCCAGCTACTCAGGAGGCTGAGGCAGGAGAACGGCATGAACCCAGGAGGCGGAGCTTGCAGTGAGCCCAGATCGCACCACTGCATTCAAGCCTGGGAAACAGAGTGAGACTCCATCTCCAAAAAAAAAAAAAAAAAATCCAATATTCCTTCATGATAAAAACCCTCAAAAAACTAGATACCAAAGGAATATACCTCAAAATAATAAGAACTATCCAAGAGAAACCCACAACCAACACCATACTGAATGGGCCAAAGCTCAAACCATTTCCCTTGAGAATGGGAACAAGACAAGGATGCCCACTCTCCCCACTCTTACTCAAAATACTACTGGGAGTCCTACCCAGAGCAATCAGGCAAAAGAAAGAAATAAAAGCCATCCAAATAGGAAAAGAAGTCAAACTATCTTTCTTTGCTGATGATATGATTCTATACCTAGAAAACCCTAAAGAATGCACCAAAAAGGCTCCTGGAATTAATCAATGACTTCAGCAAAGTTTCAGGATACAAAATTAATATATAAAAATCAGTAGCATTTCTTTTTTGAGACAGAGTCTCACTCTGTCACCTGGTGCAGTGGTGCCATCTCAGCCAACTGCAACCTCCGCCTCCTGAATAGCTGGAATTACAGGTGCACACCACCACGCCTGGCTAATTTTTGTTTTGCTTTTTAATTTTAGTAGAAATGAGGTTTCACCATGTTGGCCAGGCTGGTCTTGAACTCCTGACCTCAAGTGATCTACCCGTGTTGGCCTCCCAAAGTGCTGGGATTACAGGCATGATCCACCACGACCAGCCTTAAAAATCAGTAGCATTTCTACATACCAACAATGTTCAAGCTGAGAGCCAAATCAAAAACACAATTCTGTTTACAGTAGCCACCAAAAAATAAATAAATAAAATATTTAGGAATACATCTAAGCAAGGAAGTGAAAGGTCTCTACAAGAAGAACTACAAAACGCTGCTGAAAGAAATCAGAGACAACACAAACAGAAAAACATTCCATGCTCATGGATTGGAAGAATCAATATCATTAAAATGGCCATACCACCCTAAGTAATGTACAGATTCAATGCTATTTCTATCAAACTACCAATGTCATTTTTCACAGAATAAGAAAACAACTATTCTAAAATTCATATGGAACTAAAAAAGAGCCTAAATGACCAAAGCAATCCTAAGCAAAAGGAACAAAGCCAGAGGCATCACTCTACCTAACTCCAAACTATACTATAAGGCCATTGTAACCAAAACAGTATGGTACTGGTACAAAAACCGACACATAGACTAATGAAACAGAATAGAGAATCAGAAATAAGACAGCATACCTACAACTATCTGACCTTCAACAAAGTCAATAAAAATAGGCAATGGAGAAAGGACTCCCTATTCAATAAATGTGTTGGAATAACCAGCTAGCAGAGACATGAAAATTCTAAGAACAAAAAAGAAATGCTAGTGATCAAAAACACTGTAACAGAAATGAAGAATGTCTTCAATAGGTTCATCAGTAGACTGGACATGACTGGGGAAAATCCTTGGATCTTGTGGATGTGACAGATAGAAACTTCTGAAACTAAAAAGCAAAGAGAAAAAAGACAAAAACAAAACAAAACAAAATACAATACCTAAGAACTATGGGACAACTATAAAAGGTATAACGTGTGTGTAAATGAAATCCCAAAAGGTGAAAAAAGAGAGAAAAGAACAGAAGCACAGATGGGGAGAAAACATTTGCAAAAGACAAATCTGATAAAGTACTGTTATGCAAAATACACAATGAACTCTTGTAAACTATGGGCTTTGGATGATAAGGATTTGTCAATGTAGGTTCATCAATTGTAACACATGTACCAGTGTGGTGTGGGATACTGACAGCAACGGAGGTTGTGCGTATGTTGGGGCATGGAGGTATACGGGAACTCTGAACTTCCCACACGATTTTGCTGTGAACCTAAAACAGCTCTAAAAAATTAAGTTTATTACTTTTTAAAAACGGAGTAAGTAAATGTCCAACAAATAATGAGTTCATTGAGTGCTAAGTATAATATTTCTTGACTGACAGAGTTGAACTTAGAAACAAAATAATAACATAAAGCACTGGGATAACAAGATACAACTTAACAGAAATAAAGTTTTGCATTTAAGCTAAAGAAAACCAACTAATTAAGAGACAAATGCTAGAACCTGGAAATTTGCAGACAAATCCCTGGGAGTTTTACTTGGCCACAAGCTTAATCATAAGTTGACTGCCTGGTATGGCTGCTAAGCTAAAAAAGGCTTCAGGCTTCCTCAACAGAAGTACCTGGACCCATGGTTTTCAAACTTTAGAAGACATAAAACTCACCCAGTGTACTTGCAAATAAAGTCTGATTTTATATGACTGAGGGTGCACCCTGAGAATCTGCATTTCTAAAAAAGTACCTCAAGGGACTCTGAAATAAGTGATAAAAACCACTCAATATCTATTACCAGGCTGGTTGTGGTGGCTCAGGCCTGTAATCCTAGCACTTTGGGAGGCCAAGGCGGGCAGATCACCTGAGGCCCACCAGCCTGGCCAACTAGGCGAAACCTCGTCTCTACTAAAAATACAAAAAATTAGCCAGGCTGGGTGGCAGGTGCCTGTAATCCTAGCTACACAGGAGGCTGAGGCAGGAGAATTGCTTGAACCCAGGAGGTGGAGACTGCAGTGAGCCGAGATTGCACCATTGCACTCCAGCCTGGGCAACAAGAACGAAACTCTGTCTCAAAAAAAAAAAAAATCTATGTCTATATATAGATCTATCTTATCTGCCTATCTATATAACTAGTGCTGGCCACTTCTTCATCTATTAACTAATGAATATATAGGCATTTTTTAATGATTTGGTCACATAGAATGTCTTTCTAAAAATATTGTTTATGATTATTTGATCTTTAGCAGTCCAAAAGTGTGCAGTCTTTTAAAAAGTGTTTAAGATTCTAAAACAAAAATAAGTTTTGACACATACTGTAGTAAGCTTTGATAATCCAGAAAATTTACTGATATAAACTATTAATTCATTCTTGGACATACCAGACAAATGAGATGTTTTGTTTTTCTTTATAAATAACTCAGGCAAACTGATAGTTATGGCAGATATCACGACATGTTAAATTGCCCACTTAATCTTTGTTGGTTAATCAGATGATGGTGATAAGAAAAAAACCTCACACTTTTCCTTAGTAGTTAGCCTTTGGAAAATTAATGAATCTACTATTCCAAACTTAGAATATTCTAATTTCAAAAAGCTTTGTAAAACTTACATCGCCCTCTAAGACACTCGCAGAACACTGCAGAAGATGAGGGAGACAGAGAACAGCGGGAAGGAAGAAAGTGAGAACTGAAAAGCCTAATCCAGCACAAACTGAAGTGCAGCTGAATGAATTTCTCTTGCCTGACCTAGTTCAGTAATAAGACAAATTGTTCTAAGAGTAATGGAGCTCTAGCTTGACAGTGACGACTGACATAAGCTACAAACTAGGTCCTGACAGGAATGCAAAAAGCCGCAGCATTGTTTCAGTGTTTCCAACAGAGCTCTTGGATTTCTGTACTTGGCCAACATATCCAGTGGAGGCACTTACCATGATAATCCCCTTGGCTTGGTGGATTGGATAGAATAATCTTCAGGCAACTGAAAGGTGTATAGTCTGTCCTCTTGCCTTCCTTTCCAAAGCTGTGACAGATGTTGTAAGAGCAACCTTTACCAAACTGATTGGGAGGAAATGGAAAAAGAGACAAAGTCAGCCAATAATTATACTAGTGAGGTCAGCAACACAAGCTAGAATCAAAGAGTGCAAAGCAATATTTTCTAGAATAAATTCAGCATTCACAGGCAGATGTACATTCATGCCATGTATATTATTTAGGTCCTTTATGATACAAATAATTTCTTTTTTAAAAAAAGGTACAAAACTTATAGAAAACAAATTTATCAGGTAGAAGACAGCTAATGTTACCTATACGTTTAAAGATAAAGTAAATCTTTTCCTGAGAAGAATAATCAATTTGCCCTTCTTCGTTTGATTCCAAAGATTATAGAAGAAAATCAGTTTAGCCTCTTTTCTATCCACCTTCCCCTAATTCTCCCTGAATTCCTGTATCTAACCCATTCTACTTCCTAAATGCCTATAAAATAGTTAATCCTAGGCCAGGTGCAGTGGCTCATGCCTGTAATCCCAGCACTTCAGGAGGCTTAGACGAGAGGATCGCTTGAGCCCAGGAGTTCAAGACCAGCCTGGGCAACACAGTGAGACCCATCTCTACAAAAAAATTAAATATTAGCTGGGTGTGGTGGCATGCACCTGTCGTCTCAGCTACTCAGGAGCCTGAGGTAGAATTATCACTTGGGCTGGGGGGTTGAGGCTGCAGTGAGCCATGATTGTGCCACTGTACTTCAGCCTGGGCAACATAGTGAGACCCGGTCTCAAAATATAATAACAATAATAATAATAACAATCCCTTCCTCTGGATTTCCACTATACAAAGTAGTCAGCAAATGCTTAATGAATGAAGTACTACAACTGCCTCCTACCCAGAATCCTTGCCTCCATGTTCATAAAACAAGCTAATGGGACAGAAGGGACTTTGAACTGGGTCAGACAGGAGAACAAAAGGAACCAGCATATAATGAAAAGTGACCAGGTGCCAGGCATTTTGTAGGAGCTTTTAAAAGTGTAATCCCATTTAATCATTTAGATAATCACAACTCCTCTATGATGCTACACTTGAGAAAACTGAAGTTCAAAGTATGAAGCAATGTGATGCATGACAGTTATTAAATGGTAGACATGTACAGACAAGTCTGATTCCAAAACCCAACTCTACAAAAAAATGAAATATTAGCTGTGTGTGGTGGCATGCACCTGTCGTCTCAGCTACTCAGGAGCCTGAGGCAGTGAGCTATGATCGTGGCATTGCAGTCAGGGCAACAGAGCAATATTCTGACTCTAAGAAAAATTAAGAATTAAATTTAAAAAGTCACTAACCATCATGCATTGGAAAACATTTAATGGAAGCAGAATAATGGGTTGATAGCTTCCTAATGCTATAGTAGACCAAGGAGTACTTCACACTTTTTTCTTCATGCATGCTGGTACTGAGGTGGGTGCAAAGATCCAATAGACAGATCTTACCTCAAGGAGTTTATGGTCCTGGAGGAACTAATCAACTATGTGAATGCGTGATTAATAGAAAATAACATGATAATGTGTCATAAAAGAAGTAAAGTGCTATAAAAATCAAATATGTTATGAAGATAAATCTTCTAGAGAGGTCTAGGTATAAGTATAGGTAAAATGCTATTGAAATATGTAGGAAGAAGAGATTTTGGACCACAAAATGAAGTATCATTTAAAACGGAGTCTGAAAGAGAGAAGTTATGTCCTAAAAAGATTTAACTGGAAGTTATTACTTTTAAATATTTTGTTATTTCTTATTACTAAGGAAGTGTGGTATTACAGAAAGAGTGTGGGCTATATTCAATTCACTTCTGACACTAACTAGAGCTCATGCAGATCTCTCATGGATTAAGAGCTCAGTCTCACAAGACTGTGCCCTACTTCATATACCAATTGCAAGCAGTAGGTTCCCAAGTCACCACAACTTCTGACCAGTTTGGCCACAAGTGGGAGGTTACCAGAACCCCCTTCTCAGGTTCAGTAATGTGCTAGAGCAGCTCATAGAACTCCTGGGCTCAAGTGATCTTCCCACCTCAGCCTCCTGGGTGACTAGGACTACAGGTGTGTGTCACCAGACAAGGTCTTGCTATGTTGCCCAGGCTGGTCTCAAACTCCTGGGCTCAAGCAATCCTCCCACCTTGGCCTACTAAAGCCCTGGGATTGCAGATGTGAGCCACTATGTCGGGCCCTTGGTTGATGATTTTCTAATTCCACTACTAGGTGACACTCATCTGGCATAACAACCCATACCCCATTGGTCAACCAAAAGCAGACAATGTACCTTTGACAAGATATCTGGCAAGAGCAAATATTCAATACTGGTGGAATCTTGGACAAAAATCTAATTTTCCTGGGAAAGAGGTAGGGGTTAGGGTGGGTGTCCCATGTTAAGTGGTCATTTGGGCAAAAACTACAAACCTAAAACCAAGTTTCTAAAATGAATTTTAGAGTACGGCAAATGACTGATTTAGTCAAAAATTTATCTTCTACTCTGAAAAAAATACATGTTTGTTTAAAAGACAAACCTTGCCACTTTTATACTGGAGCACAATCTTAAACTACCACTCAGTGATCTCTCAAGGCTGGCACAAACAGAATTATCAGAAGCTGTGAGTGGCTGTGGAGCACATCAAATGTTCCTACATGGTACATTAAGCAACACTTGTTAAATAGTGAGAAGCCAGATTGCCCAAATAACAAGTCATTTTCAAAGGGCAAAATCTTCAAGGTTCTCACTCTAATAATTAGAGTGAAATGGCTATAAAGAGCTTATAGTTTTTACTGCTATGATTCTTTAACTTATAAAATGGATACTGTAGAAAGCTTAGAGAATGATTACTTGGCAATTTTTCATACATGAAATTAAAGTATCATGTAGATAGAAATAAAAATAAAACAGATTATTTTGAGTTTATAAATAATTATACATATTGGCAATGAACTGAAACTTAAATACAAAAGGTGGGCAGGCCATATTTTGGAAAACAGGTAAATCCCCCCTCTTTTAAGTGACTGCAAGACACTTCAGAGTTGCCTTGGCTTGCTTTCTCTGGGCTCATACTAAGAGCAACACACACAGAGTAGGCATTTTAAAGATCCCAGGCTTGGGAGGCAAAGAAACCTGGGAAAGAATCCCCAGCTTGTCCACTTATAAAGGGTATTACTTCAATCCTCAATTTTCCTAATCTATAGGGACAGTAATATTAATGCATTAAATTGCTATGGAGATTATATTAAATTAAATTAAAACATTAAGCAGAGTACCTGTCACATCCTTTGTTCTCAATAAATATTAGCTGCTATTGGTGAGGGAAAAACCGGAAAATATTTGGTGTCCTAGTTTAAACACTGACTATGCTACTGCAAAAGACTTCTATTTCAGTAGATACTAACAGAACCTTTACCTAAAGGTTTAGGGAGAATAAAAGACTCACTAAACTATTCAATTACACTTCTAGTCATCTTCTTAAAATGTCCCCCTTCTTCCAACTCCTATCCACAACTCTAACTATTCATACAAACTGGCTCAAATGTCACTTCCTCTGTGGAATCTTCCCAAGCACCCAAGGCAGAAGACATTGCTTCCTCAAAAGAATGCACAGCAGCAGTTTGTACAGTGCTGTACCTTTCTTGTTGCAATGGAATTTAGTTTTGTATTTATCACTTCTAAACTAGGAATGCTGTTAAGGGCAGGGACTTGGTTGCGTACTCATCGTAGCATGCCTACTCAGTATCTGATAAAACATCTACTCATAGGAGGTGCTCAATAACCTTCACTTGAATGAAAGAGCAAATAAGCAGTAGCTGTCTGGAAAGATGAATGTATAAATATGCTTCAAGGGATTTTAACTTATCAGGATTAAATAACTTCAAAAACTTGCCAAATCATTGCAAGTTTACACGGCTGTGCTATTTTGTTCTTCTGGATAGCTTTTCTTCTTCACTGTAACAACAACAACAAAGACTGAAAAAGAGTTTAAATGATGCCCTATATAGAGTATAGTGGATACATTAAAAGATAATAAAAGTAATAAATTTTATTTTCTTTCAAAAATTGCCTCAGTATAGTGGGACTGGGCTGTCCAATACTTTAAGAGAATAAGAAAGAGAGTCAGAATAAGAGATAGGAAAATACCTTGCTATTTTTTGTGTGAGATTTTTTAATTTGAGGTTATAATTTAAATATAGTGAAATGCAGATATCTTAAGTCTATAGTTTGATCAGTTTGGGTAAGTGACTATACCTATATAACCCACACCCCTACCAGAAGATAGAACATTTCTATCAACCTGTAGAATTCCCTCTTGCTTCTTCTCAGTCAACATTCCCCTCCCTCCACAACCAGAAGCAACTACTGATCCGATTTTTGTTACCACAGATTAGTTTTAACTATTCTATAACTTTATATCAATGGAATCATACGGTATAAAGTATTTTGTGTCTGGCTTCTTTCATGTCCTTTAATGCTTCTGAGATTTATCCTTGCCATTACATGTATCAGCAATTTGTTCTTTTTTATTGCCGAGCAGTGTTCTACTGTATGGATATACCAGATTGCTTGTCTAGGCTCTTGCTGATGGGCACCTGGATGTGATATTGTGATACAATAAGAAATGTGTATTTGATCCCTGACCCTGGTTCCTCGCAGAGAGTTCCCAAAACTCTTGTAATTTCCTGAGCAAGAGGGATGCTAGGTGCATCTTTTGTTCTAATATTTGGTCTGTGGCGCCAGTTTCTAACAGAGTTGCTAATCCCTTGGAACTTCCTGGGCATTGATAAGAGTGTCTTTTGTTCTAATGAGGTGACTCTTGGTGGGCTCCTGGATGGGGGCTGGTCACCAGAAAGACCAAGCCATAATTAGAAGCCTGGAACTTTCAGACACACTATGCCATCGTCCAGGAAAAGGAGGGGGCTGAAAAATGAGTTAATAAATGCTCAGCCTGTATGATGAAGCCTCCATAAAAATCCCTAAACTACAGGGTTTAGAAAGCATCTGGGATGCTGAAGACATGGAGATGATAGGAGGGTGGAACACCCAGAGAGGGCATGGAAGGTCCATGCCGCTTCCTACATATCTTACCCAGAGTACTTCTTTGTCTGTTCACCTGTATCCCTTAAAACAATCCTTTATAATAAACTGATAAATATAAGTGTTTCCCTGAGTTCTATGAGCTGCTCTAGCACATTACTGAACCTGAGAAGGGGGTTGTGGTAACCTCCCACTTGTGACCAAACTGGTCAGAAGTTGTGGTGACCTGGGAACCTACTGCTTGCAATTGGTATATGAAGTAGGGCACAGTCTTGTGAGACTGAGCTCTTAATCCATGAGAGATCTGCATGAGCTCTAGTTAGTGTCAGAAGTGAATTGAATATAGGCTATCCGGCTAGCATCAGAGAATTGGTCAGTGTGAGAAAAATCCACACATCTGGTCACTATACCCTTTGTGTTAAGAGTACAGTAGGAGAAAATTGGTTTTTTCCTACCATACACACTGGGCTTTTACAGTTTTTGGTTATTCTCAATCAAGTGGCCATGAACATTCTTACATATGACTTTTGTAGGTATATATTTTCATTTCTCTGGGATAAGTACATAGAAGTGGAATTGCTGCCAAACATTTTCCAGAGTAGTTGTACTATTTTATACCCCCACCAGCAATCACTGACAGTTCTACATTCTCCCCAACATTTGGTATGATCAATCTTGCTAATTTTAGCCATTCTGGTGGGTAGCCAGTGGCATCTCACTTTGCATTTCCCTGATGACTAATGATCATGAGCACTTTTTCATGTGCTTTTTGACCAGTGATATTCCTTATTTTATGAAATGTCTGTTCAAATCTTTTGCCCATTTAAAAATGTTGATTGCCTTCTTTTAATAATTGAATAATTCTTTATATATTCTGGACACAAGCCTTTTGTCAAATATAATTGTAACAAAGGCTTATCTACTTGACGTTATCTTCTGATGAGCAGGTGTTTTTATTTTTGATGAAGTCCAATTTATCAACTTTTTAATGGTAGTGCTCTCTGTGTCCTAAGATAAATTGCAAAGATATTTTTATGTTGTCCTTTAGAAATTGTAATGTTTTAGCTTTTAAGTCTAGGTCCTGATTCATCTCAAGTTAATTTTTGTCTGTGGTGTAAGGTAGGAATCAAAGTCCTTTTTATTCTGCATGTGGAAAAACACCTTTCCGAACACCATATGTTGAAGACACTTTCTTTTTCCCATTAAATCACGTCAGCATCCTCATCAAATTTGACCACATATGTGTAGTTCTATTTTTGGAACTGGATCTGACTGGATCAGATCCAACTGGATCCCATTGATCTATATATCTGTCCTTTTGCCAATAACACAGTCTTGATTACAATAGCTTTAGAGTAACTTTCAAAGGTAAGTGAGTCCTACTTTGTTCATTTTCAAGATTATTTTGGCTATTCTACGTCCTTGCATTTCCATATAAATTTTAGAATTGGCTTGCCGATTTCTTTTAAAAAGAGAATGCTGAAATTTTTAACAATCGGTAGTTTATGTCTTCACAACTGCTATCTGTCCACAAGTAACCAATAACCAGAAAAACAAATAGCATTTCAAAGAAAAGAAAACTTTCAAGAAAGAAGAAAGACTTTCAAGCCATCATTAATTTAACTGGTGAAAACAAGGACATTAAAATTTCCACCAAACACTTTATAAACAACTTCTGTTTGTTTCTTTAGTCATAAACATGAACTATAATCTTTTTTGTGAAAACTTTTAGGTAGGAATTGAATTTAATTAGATACAAGATTTCAGTTATGTTCATCACAAAATAGGGAAAGAACATTTTGGTAAGCTATTCTGTTAAAATAATAGAAAGCTAATCTCTCTAAAAGAGAAAAGCTAGAAGTATTAACTTCCCTCTTCTTTCCAATTCATGTACTGCCTTTGTATACATGTCTAAAATTTGGACTCTTCCAAGCCTACTGGAAACAAGAAAAAAATAAAAATAAATGAAACTTGGATCTTACTAAGCTTTCAAACTATCCATGTATTTACCAAACAAATTGTCATCTCTGGTTTTCAAATTTACAAATTCAAGAAATATTGTACAGAGACTGTATTTACTTGGAGATATTTTTTAGCAAATACTTTATAGGTCTTCATATCCACAACTCAAAGGAAAACCTCTAAGCATTGGGTATGAAAAGAGGTAGGAAGGCCGGGCATGGTGGCTCACACCAGTACTTTGGGAGGCCGAGGCGGGTGGATCACTTGAGGTCAGGAGTTCGAGACCAGCCTGGCCAACATGGTAAAACCCCATCTCTAATAATAATACAAAAATTAGCTGGGTGTGGTGGTGCATGCCTGTAATCCCAGCTACTCAGGAGGCTAAGGCAGGAGAATCACTTGAACCCGGGAGGCAGAGGTTGCAGTGAGCCAAGATTGCACCACTGCACTCCAGCCTGGGTGACAAAAGCGAAACTCCATCTCAAAAAAAAAAAAGAAGTAGGAAGAAATAAATAGAAAACATATGTTTCTGTCTAGGCTCTTCCCTCCCACTCCATTCATTCAGTGTGGGGAAAGGCCAGAAAGTCAAGACAGGTCTGAAGGTGGGTACGTGGCAGTTTGCAACCTTCAAAATTAGTCCAGACATCCCAGCTGTGGCACTGGCAATACACCAATATGCATTCCTATCAAAGACAGCAGTAAGTTACTTTCAGAGGCATTGTGTTAAATGATGAACTCAAGAAAAACTGTAAAGCAGGCACACCTTTATCTAGTTCCAACTCTGTTCTCAGAGCCTCTTTCGCAACTTTGTCTTCTATCCCAAGCCCACCCAGGGTCTAGTGACCTTATTATATTTTTTAAAGTATTTATGCCCAAATCTATTCAAACACTATGGTATAAACATCTCTTTGCTGACATGGACAGTGCATTGCATGGTCTTCCTTAGAATAAAGTCTTTTCTACAAGGAAAAAAACACAGACTAAATATTACTCCTATTTTTTTTTTTTTTTTTTTTGAGACAGAGTCTTACTCTGTCACCCAAGCTGGAGTGCAGTGGTGTGATCTTGGTTCACTGAGACCTCCACCTCCCAGGTTCAAGCCATTCTCCTGCCTCAGCCTCCTGAGTAGCTGGGATTACAAGTGCCCTCCACCACGCCCAGCTAATTTTCGTATTTTTAGTAGAGACCATGTTGCATGTTGGCCAGGCTTGTCTCGAACTCTTAACCTCAGGTGATCCACCCACCTCAGCCTCCCAAAGTGCTGAGATTACAGGCGTGAGCCATCACGCCTGGCCTACTACTCCTATTTTCAAAGCAACAAAAACTTCACTATACAAGGTCGGCTTGAACAATAAAGTGAGAATGGTTAAAAAGTATCCTTTAGAGAGAGATTTGTATTCAAAAAGGAACATCTTCTTGACCTAAATGAGGCAAAAGAGCCATGTATATGTTCACAGAAATCAGCATAAGGATATGGCATTTAAAAATTTTTAATTTTTAAATTTATTACACATGCAGGTTTGTTATACCATTATATTGTGTGAAGCTGTTAGGGCTTTTAATGATCCCATCACCCAAGTAGTGAACAAAGTACCCAATAAGTAGTTTTTCAACCCTTCTTCTTTTCCCTCTCTCCTGGCTCTAGGTCCTCAGTGTCTATTTTTCCCATATTTATGTCCATGCGTACCCAGTGTTTAGCTCCTACTTATAAGTGAGAACATGCAGTATTTGATTTTCTGTTCCTGTGTTAATTCACTTAGGTTAACGACCTCCAGCTGCATCCATGCTGCTGCAAAGGACATGATTTTGTTCTTTTTATGGCTGTGTAGTATTCCTTCGTGTATATGTACCATATTTTCTTTATCTAATTCACCTTTGATGGGTACCTGGGTTGATTTCATATCTTTGCTATTGTGAATAGTGCTGTGATAAACATAAAAGTGCAGGTGTCTTTTTGGTAGAACAATTTATTTTCCTTTGAGTATATACCTAGTAATGGGATTCCTGGGTGGAATGGTAATTCTATTTTAGTTTGAGAAATCTCCAAACTGGGGATTTCCTCAGGGGCTGAACTGATTTGCATTCTCGCCAGCAGTGTGTAAGGATTCCCTTTTCTCCACAATCTCGCCATCATCCATTAATTTTTGGCTTTTTAATAACAGCCAGATACAACATTTCTTCAGGAGGACATTTTAACCTTCTTTTTAGTGGCAGGTGTTTCTTACCTTCAAGAACTTGGAACTCTAATTTCCATATTAAAAGAAACAAAGTGAGAGTCTGCTAAACTACAAAGTGACCTCATTATTACTCACCAGTGCCCAGAATTTAGGATACCAAAATCATTAGAAGCAGGTCCTATGAAGATTAGTTATCATAAGTACTAACAGAAACTCAAGCTCAGCATCAGGGTCACACATATAAGTGAACCTATCAGGAGGAAAAGGGCATGAAACCATCTTATGGCCTTTTCTTAGCACACATTCTTGTGATAATTTTTTGACCTATTGATTATGTTGTCTTGAGTCACTACCTTAAAGTCTAATGTATAATTTTAATAACCAGAGTGATGTTATAGGCATTTAATATATGGTGCCCCCTTTTAAATTCTTATGTAACTAAATTACTCAATTACTATCTATTAAACTAAATTTGTAATCAGTCACCTATAGATCCAAATACTTCCCTTTAACTCTTAACTTCAAACACAGTTTAACTCTTAGAGATCATTGAAACATCACACATATTCTAACCAAACAACACACCAAAGGAGATGTGGAGGCCCCAAGGAGTCCAGGAGGCAGTAAATACTAATGGTTGAAGTCAGATACTCAAGTTTAAATATTGTCTCTAATACATGCTAGCTGTGTGACCTTGGACAGTTTACTTAACTTCTTTGCAACAATTCTCTTTTATGTAAAAAAGGAGTTATATCTATCACATAGGGTTGACTTGGGGATTAAGTTAGCTCATTTTCATAAAGTACTTGGTATAGCGTCCTGCACACAGTGATAAAATGCTCTCCTTGACCAAACTTTAGTCAGGCTCTTCTGAACCTCATCTCAACTAGGCCTAGAGCTTTGGATTTCTGTGTTCCTCTTTACATCACCCAGTTGTAACAGGAATCTTACAAGGTCAGTTGAGAAAGAACTCCCCAGATATTGAAATCACCCTCAATATCTGATCAAATTCCTCACTGCCACCCTTGGTATCTTATCACCCTGGCCAACCTGCAGCAAGGATCCTGTTAGTTCTGTTTAACCAGAATCGCCTTACCTGTGATGTTTCTTTCCTCTTAGTAATTTTTCATCCACTGACCCCCATCCCTGCTCTCTTGACCATGCTATTTGGAATTAGGAATCCCCACTTGTGCATGCTCTCTATATGGAATTAAGCCCAGTTCTATACTGGAATCCCTTCTTCTATTGCAGCTTTTCCTGAATAAAATCTGTTTTTACCATTTTAACTACTATCTCTTATTTTTCTTTAACAGTTTTTCGTCCATGATTCAGATCTGGATCTGAACCACCATTAGACTCTTGGACACAATAACCAATCTCTAAGCATACACCAAGACTTTGTCTTCAGTCTGCTTGCTTTTTGGGTATCTGGTGGTGAGTGACTCCAATATCCAGTGCTCCAGATAAATGTCCATCGAATCACAGTGAGGAAAGATTTTGATTAAGATTCTGATTACATTGTCTGAAGCTGGATTAGAGGCCCAGACTTCTTTGTTTGAAAGGCATCTACTCAGCTAGACGTCTTTCTTTCTGGGGCTCACTGCGTCAAGAAGACATTTACTCCCTGACTCCTGAGCCTGGCTCTTGGCTGGAAAATTCTTCCTGGATCTTTGTCTCCTGGGATGAAGACTTTTCCTGGCTCTTTGTTTCCAGTGGGGATCCACTCCCCAGTGCCTGGGCTGGAATTTTTTCCCTGCTCTTTATAAGGCCTCTCTCTTCTGTCTGTTTAATCCTGCTTCTCCCATGGGAACTTCTCAATTGAAACCTCACTTTATCAAACTCCTGCTTTGCCACTATAGTTCTAATACTGTCTGCTTGCTTTCTCACTGGCAAAGCCTTACCAAAAACTCTCTTCAGCTATGGTGGGGGCTCCTCGTATATCCCTAAATTAGTCCATCTAAAAACAGCCCTAGAGCAAAAAGGAACAAAGCTTTTGGATGCACAGCGGTCTGCTTATTTCACTTGGTATTAAGAAGCCAAAAAACAGCTAAATAATTCAAATCTCAGTCAAACTACTGAGGCTCTTTCGCACTGTCTGTAGAAAAATTTTTCTGACTCAGTAAAGTTCCTAGAGCTCTCAACAGCACCTCCATATTCCCCTCCCAGCTTTCCTTTATAGCCTCCTCTCCCAAACTCTCTTCCACCATCTGCCCCCTCCTCCAGTCCCTCACCTCCCTGTAACCAAAAGGTTCACTGGCCTCCATCTCCTTCAGATGAAGCCCAGGATCAGCCAGTACCTGTTCCCAAGTGAGGCTAATAGAAGAGAGAACATTTAAACCTTGGTCTAGGTCTGAATTGCATCCTATCACCAAATACTTTCCTGACCACAGAAAGGAAAGGGAAAGGTTTGTTGAACAATTTAGAATCATTCTAGGTGCATACTTTCTGGGATTCCGTGATTTAAATCAACTTATCTGCCTGTTGGTTGGGCCTGGAAATGCCTCCCTTTGCTTTGAAAAAGCTAAATGGACCACTATTTCTGATGAACCTCAGTTCCTTCCTTGGGTGCACAAGGGTCTCAGGCTACCCCTGATACCCCGAGGGAAGTAAGAAATTACTAGGAGCCATCCATCAAATCTCTCCCATTAAAATTGATTGGTCACATATCTAACATTGTAAATAACAAACTGATGAAACTGTGGCTATCACCATCAATTAAAGACAACATGGAAAGAGAATTCAGGGGTGGAACTGACTTTCCAAACAGCCTCTGCTCAGGCCATGCAATCTTTGTAAATAGTTTCAGGCCAGACCTCCATGACACATTACAGAAAAATAATATTAATTAACAAAATGTATACACGTCTAGGCTCCAGACATTAGCCCAATAATATGAAAATAGTATTTCAAAAACATTGGAAAATATACAATGTAAGCTTGTGGCACTGCAGTTAAAACAACTGGAAAAACCTGAAATTTTTAACTCACAGCAAGCTCCACAATGGAAGGCTCCCATTGATCTCAACAATGTGCTGATATCGTGAGGAAAAAAGACACTGGGCCTGGAATTGCCCAATGCTCAAGAGGAGGGAAAAACCCAAGTCCCCCTCCTCACCAGAGAACTGTCTATTTTCCTCCAGAGAAGCAAATGTCCCAATGCCCTCAACTACTACTAAACTTGCATGAAGAAATAATGCTACAAGTTAAAGGGCCTCCACGTCTCTCATCGATACCAGGACAACACATTCTACCCTCAACGTGACCTCACTTCCTGCCCCCTTCCCCACAGTCACCAAACTTTACCAGTGGTGGGTTTTGATGCTTTGCCCCCAGCTCATCCTCATATCTCTAAGGGACCTCTTAAAGGTCAACATAATTTTCTACTCAGCTCCACTACCCCAGTAAACTTGTGTGGAAAGTATCTTCTCATGAATGGAGGTACAAAAATTCCTGCTGGACTGCTTCTACCCACCCCTGAGTCTTCCTCTTCATGTCTATGTCCCCTAATGGTTTTGTCTGACTTCCCCTAAGCAGAGAGTTCCTTTGCCCACTTCAACCTATCTACTTAAATAAAGATTTAAGCAAACTATTAAAATTATCTAAGGTATATGCGATACAGAACCCATATAAGGTAGAAACAGATCCTTCCAAGCCTCTCCCCAGGATTCCCCAATATCGTTTAAAACCACAAGGACTAGAAGTTGCTCTCCCTGATAATGAGAGGCTTATTAGACATAAGACCCCACTTCTAATCCATGCATTACTCCCATTTGGCTATTAAAAAGTCAAGTGAGAAAGGATATCAGTTCCTTCCTGGGATCTATCAATTACACTGTCAAATCAAGATTTCCCTTGGTGCCTAATCCTAACACTATCTGTCTGTTATCTCTTCCAACATGCAATATTTCATGGTGATTCATTTGTGTTCTGCCTTTTTTTTTTTTTTTGAGACAGAGTCTCACTCTGTCGCCCAGGCTGGAGTACAGTGGCTTGATCTCAGCTCACTGAAAGCTCTGCCTCCCAGGTTCACGCCATTCTCCTACCTCAGCCTCCCAAGTAGCTGGGACTACAGGCATCCACCACCACGCCCAGCTAATTTTTTGTATTTTTAGTAGAGACGGGGTTTCACCATGTTAGCCAAGATGGTCTCGATCTCCTGACCTTGTGATCAGCCTGCCTCAGCCTCCCAAAGTGCTGAAATTACAGGCATGAGCCACCGCTCTCGGCTGTGTTCTGCCTTTTATAATATTCCCCTCATAAAGAATCTCACTACTTTGCCTTCACCTGGGAAAATAAACAATACACCTGGACTGTTATGCCCCAACGATTTACTATGGCCCTACATATTTCTCATGAACCTATTTGATGGACTTAAAATTCCCAGAAGACTCCACTGTAATCCAATATGTAAATGACCTCTTTCTATGCACTTTCAGTTATGACAACTCCCTTTAGGACACTGAATACTTTAAGGCAATGGCAAGAAAAGACCACAAAGTTTCTAGAGGAAAAGTTTAATTATTCTGTGTGTTCAATATCTGGGTCATGGTATTTCAGCTGCAGGTAAAATTATCTTCACAGGCAGAGCTTCTACTATTCATCATTTTCCTCTTCCTGAAACAAAATAACAGAGGTTTTTGGATCTTGTGGGCTATTGTAGGATGTGGGTACCTAATTTCTCATAGACTGATGATTGCCTTTAAGGTTCACAGCCTTCACTATGACTTTTCCTCATCTGAGATTAGTCTTCTCTTACATTTTTCTGTCCCTAAATTTAGGAGCTCCTTGTTCTCGCCCAGCTCTGCCTTTTCCTTATCTGTTAGCAAGACTATTCATCCACAGAGCCTTTGGCAAGCCTGGGCTGGACTAGTCACCACTTCCCATAACGCCACAGACTGAGGGTACTGTGCTTCCTTTCCTGTGGGCACATCTGGCATTTCCAAGATTCCTGTGAGAAATCAGAATTCCTATTTTGCTATACCTTCCCTCTCCTTTCTTACACCATTTTAAACCAGACAAATACCCATTGTGAGAAAAACCTCTGAATATGCTCCAGTCTATCCTTGCAAGGGTCATGTCCACTCGCATCATAATTTTACCATCAATTCTTTTCTGGGAACAAGCATTTGTCATTACACTTCTCCAGCCATCATTAAATGTAACATAATGCCTCCAAGCCACTACAGGTTCCTGGACATCTCTCATACGAATGGAAATGTCCCCACTTCCCCTCTCAGCCTAATTTCTCTCACCCAACCCAACCACACACAGACCACCTCCAAAAAATCCTTTCTCAATCATCGAAATGTTTATTCTTTGGTCACCTTCAGCCATCAGATAATTATCTTATGACTCCAGGCTAGCGCTCAATGATTCTTATTCTGTCTGTGGAACTCAAACCTATTAGCTGTTACCAGCCAACTGGAATGGATCTTGCTACCTCTCTAATCTTACTAATCCCTTCATCTACTTGATTCCCCACAATTTCTTTCCTTTTTTAAAGTTATCTCTAAAACAATCACCCACTCCCTCCAGTTGACCTCACTCTCACTATGAGAGCAAAAGAGGTATCCAGAACATTGCAGGTCTGTTGTAGGTGATCTTGGTTACTCAGGTGGTGACTTAGAAAGAACAGCTACACGAACTGGGCATAAGTTCTACCCATGATCTCAAGACATTAAGAAGTCTCAACAGATGGTTCAGCTCGTCTTTACTGAAAAGGAACTGAACACAAGATGGACTTAGATTGCTGAGAGAAGAGAATAATGCTTATTTCCTCAAACAAAAGGAGCAACTGACAAGATGCCTTCCTTGGCCAAACTTAAGTCAGGCTCCTTGGAATCCTCTTCTCAACTAGACCTTAATCTTTGGTTTCAATTTTGCATAGCACAGTTGTAGTAAGAATCTTGCAGTCAGTTTAGAGAGAATCCCCTACCCTCACTATCTGTTCACCTTCAATATTTGATCACCCTCAGTATCTAATCAAATTCCGCATCCCTGCACTCTCCAACACCCGCCTTGGTATCTCAATACTCAGCCTGTCTTGAGCAAGAATCATTTTAGGTTGGCTTAACCACAATCTCCCCACTCCTTAAGTTTCTTTCATCTCCGTAATTTTTCATCCATTAATGCCATCTTGCTCTTTGGCTATAAATCCCCATTGGTCTATGCTGTATTCAGAATTGAACCCTGTTCTATACTAAGGTCTCTCTTCCCCTATTACAGTAGTTCCTGAATACAATCTGTTTTTACCACTTTAACTAGTGTAATGTACAGCTCCGCTTTTCTGTAAAAAATAGTAAGCACTCAATACTTTAGAGTTACTAACATTACCAAGGTTGTCAGTTTTACTATTAACTAGGAAAAGCTATCTTGAGTAGGTCAGACCCGGTGTGTTGTTTAATATTACTTAAATTACTTACGTTTTGCCTCCAGCTTCTTCATTAGAAAAACCTGCATCTAGTTACTGTCTCTAACTCCTCATTGGAGCTTAAAAAAATCAGTTAAGCAATTTGAAGTCTGTAACACAGCTGGAAAACATTGCTTTTGTTATTCTAATTCAGCCAATTACCTCCTATGGTGTATTAAATATTCCTTTTTCTGCTCTGTAAGAGTTAATTCATTTCTCATCGGTGAGAACTTTTCACAGGCTTGTGAAGCAGCAAGGTGTTACAGAGATAACACAGATTTTGGTTCTAACTCTGCCACCTACTAGCTGAATTATGTTAGGCAATTATAGGTTACCTCAGTCTCTTTGTAGACTAAACTGTAAGAATGTATTATATGCTACAATTATGTGTATAAAATTTGTAGAAACTAGTTTGTGCCATTTTTGAAAGGTGAAATTTATAAAATAGTTCATTTTATAATCAAATATATCTCTGAAGACTCCTGGGAGTTCCCCTGAAAAGGTGTTAAAAATTGTAAAAATTTCACCTATTATGAAGGTTCCATCCAAAAAAGCAGGACACATGTTCTTCATCTTCATTTCTTAATCTCTTCCCCTGAAGTCATGGAGAACATTTTCAGTTCTGGACTCCAGAGTATACAGAATTTCTTTCTCAAATTTCCCGTGGGGCAAGGTCAAGACACAGTTTTAAAATTTTCATCGACCACATTGTTTTCAGAAAATGGAAAGGAAATAGTGAAATGCCAAAAATCCATAGAATAAGTATTAAATAGAATAACCTTATGTAAACTGATGTGGCCACTCATTAAGCAGAACACTTTCAGTGATGTCAATAGATCAAAAGAAAGGTCAGCTGTGTATCAAAGGCTCTGCCATAATCATCAGAGGAAAATGGAGAGCTATCTGTTCAGGAATACTGGAGGTAGGCTGGCTAGTGGGTTTGTTTCATCTTTTTCACTATACCCAAATAGACTCAGAAAACAAGATTTGAGGGCTATTTGTCACCTGGGGCTCTGTGATTTGCATCATTCTAACTATATCTATTATATTCAGTCAGATATTTAATAAATAAAATTTCTAAATTCCTAATGGGGAATTGCGTACAAATGCACTACTGTTATTAGCAAAAAGAAAAAGAAAAACAAAAACAAAAACAAAAAAAACCAGGGTAACACTTAGTGATGTTTCAACAACAGTAGCTTACATTTCTACAGATCTTTAGTGTTTAACAAGATGATTCTTCCTGGACTTTTCACTAACTGTAAGGTATGCAAATTAGATATCTGTATTTTATAAATGAGGAAACTAAGGTTTCCAGAAGTCAAGTGGATAGTTATTTCAGTTACTTAATGGGAAACCTGAAATTAAAATCCTAGTCTTCTACATTCTAGAAAATATTATAAAATTATAATATTGGTGGGACTGTAAACTAGTTCGACCATTGTGGAAGTCAGTGTGGCGATTCCTCAGGGATCTAGAACTAGAAATACCATTTGACCCAGCCATCCTATTACTGGGTATATACCCAAAGGACTATAAATCATGCTGCTATAAGGACACATGCACACATATGTTTATTGCGGCACTATTCACAATAGCAAAGACTTGGAACCAACCCAAATGTCCAACCCAAATGTCCAACAATGATAGACTGGATTAAGAAAATGTGGCACATATACACCATGGAATACTATGCAGCCATAAAAAATGATGAGTTCATGTCCTTTGTAGGGACATGGATGAAATTGGAAACCATCAGTCTCAGTAAACTATCGCAAGAACAAAAAACCAAACACCGCATATTCTCACTCATAGGTGGGAATTGAACAGTGAGAACACATGGACACAGGAAGGGGAACATCACACTCTGGGGACTGTTGTGGGGTGGGGGGAGTGGGGAGGGATAGCACTGGGAGATATACCTAATGCTAGATGATGAGTTAGTGGGTGCAGTGCACCAGCATGTCACATGTATACATATGTAACAAACCTGCACATTGTGCACATGTACCCTAAAACTTAAAGTATAATAATAATAATAATAATAAAGAAAATATTATAAAATTATAAATGGAGAAAAGAAATAAACACATATAACCAACTATCAGTTATCCATTCAACTACAGGTTGCTTCCCCACTGTCACTCAGTTGCTTCAAGGGTCATCTGAAAGTCGCACTGAACCACAGTTAAACAAAATGTTTCTGATTTCAATGAAAACCAGAGAAAAATTATCTACTATCTAAAGAAATAGTAACTCTAACAAGTCACTCATATTATTTATCCAGTTTCTAATTTAACAGAACTTTAGAATAATAAAATATGGCAAACTTGAAGTTAAAAGTCTGAACTAAAAAATATTAAATAGTGTTTCAGTATGCTTTCAAATGGCCAGTTTTCTTCACATTCCAACTTCCTATAATTATCAAGTTGAGGACACGACAAGGAACTGAAGTACAAAATCAGAGAAAAGGAAGTATACAAATGGAGAGGAAAGGATATAGAACACGCCATTGCTTATTAAACTAGCAACTTGATCTGGAGCCTTAGCAAATTTAGTTTTCTTACCAGTTAGAATTAGGATTTAAAAGCTGGAACAGGCTTCAGACCTTACCTAGTGCAGCCATTATTTGATAGTAAAACAAGGAACAGAGGGTCTAACCCTAAGTTGCAGTTTCTAAGTGAGTTAGGAAAAAAACCTTTCTAACAGGCATGGTGGCTCCCACCTGTAATCCCAGCACTTTGGGAGGCTGAGGCAGGAGAACTGCTTGAGTCCAGGAGTTTGAGACCAGCCTGGGCAACATAGTGAGACAAAAAATTTAAAAAATTAGCTAGGCATGTTGCCCCATGCCTGTAGTCCCAGCTACATGGGATGCTGGTCTGGAAGGCCTTAGACCCTGCGTTGCCTAGTTCATGCGCCTCTTGTTCACTTCTTTAAACCCTGTGTGTAGCACAAAACCTAGCAAATTGCAGCTGCTCAATGAATGTTTACTTGGCTGAACTGTTAGGAATCTTTTTTGGACTGTATGTTCATAGGGTCATCCCCACCAGAGGACTGAAAGCTAATCTTATGACATATTTCTCTGTTAACTTTCAGTGCCAAAAAAAGATTTAGCAAGTAAGTTCCTGCCCCTAAATACTATAACTTAGCATACTATTTAAATAGAGGCCTTCAACAGTTCAACCTGGAGGAAATGGTCAGGGGGAGTTCTACGGGAGATAATTTTCATCAGCTATCTGTTCAGACAGGTATGCCTACTATTAACGATATATTAATGATAAAATTTTCACCCTTGTTTTAGAAAAATCTGCTTTATTCATTGATATGAATGCCACTGATGTAACAGCAATGAAAATTTATTAAACTTCCAAATATAATTTGCCAAAATTTGAGATAGAAACCACAGACAACCCTTCACTTAGGAAGTAAAACATTTACTAATCACATACTTCTAGCCTAAAAGACTAGATTTAGTAATCCTTAAAAGGTGGTCAATTTAGTCTCTACCTCAGTAGCAGAAAAGGAGCCAACATAAAACAAGTATCACCAGAAAACCACAGGAGTACGCCGAGTGATGTAGAATTTGCTAGTCCCAGATAGTTGGCTCAGCTTGAATAAATGGTCTTTTCACTCCACAGAAACAAGAAAACTGAAAACATCATCCAATACTGCATTCAGAGACTGCACAATTAGCTGATCAGAGCTAATCTAGAGAGAAGCTGCCTTTTCTTCACAGAAACAAGAATTATGATTTTTAAAAATGTTTTGAGGAATTAAATGCAAATTTATTTCACTTTTACTAGATTAGTTTCACCCTATTTACTTATTTTCCCAGATTTATTTTCCGTCCCCACCTCCCTTTTTTTTTTTTTTTGCTTTCATAGTTGTTTTTTTAGAACTCATTATCTGGCCACTTTACTCAACAGTGAATATTTTCAAGTATTGACTATTTTGATAGAATTTTTAAAATCTAACTTGATCATCAAAAAGATGTCTAAAGATACTACAGATGGGGTTCAAAACATGTTATTCCAAAATATGGCACTTTGGCATTTCAGGAAATAGCAAAAGCAGAAAAATCACTCTCATTATCCCCTCGACCCTTCTCCCCTAAAGCAGGTTATAAAACCTAGAAAGAATTCTTTGACCTCTCTTCTCAGTAAGAACTTCATTCCAGAGATGCCCTGGAGGAAAGAAATGTCCTTATCACTGAAGACACAGGGATACAGAGAAGAATGTGAACAAATAGGCCTTGCAAGCTTCTCCCCAGTTTATTAGATTATATCCCTTTTATCTTATCATACTTCCCTATGACCACTTTTCATCAAACTAAGCATAAAAAGTTTTTCCTGTTTGAGTTTTCATATCCTTATGAAGGTTCCCATGTTATATAAAACCCATATGAAATAAATTTGTATGCATTTCTCTTATTAATCTGTCTTTTGCTATAGGACCTCAGCCATGAACCTGAAGATGGGTAAGGAAAAAATCTTTTCTCGCCTACACTACTCATAACCTCGTAAAACTATTATGTGCAATGAGTCTAAGGTTTTTAAACTTTCAATTAATTAACTAATTTTATTTTTTGTAAACAGGAGATCTTGCTATGATGCCGGGGCAGGTCTCAAATTCCTGGCCTCAAGCAACCCTCTGTCCTGGGCCTCTCAAAGGCATGAGGCCTTTGAGCCTCATTGAGATTACAGGCAAAGTCTAGGGTTTTGAAGAGCTACCAAGAAGACTGCAAAATATAAACTCCTTAATCCTATGAATGTTAAGAAAAACAATATTTTTATATAAACATTTAAATATTTTTATATATTGATATATTTCAATATGTTTCTGGGTGCATAAAGGTTTAGGATTGCCTTATATTAGTAGACTATACCTTTTATCACATATAAAAATATAACTTTGTCCATTTTAATACTTTTCTCCTTGTACTGCATTTTGTATAACATTGTCACTCCAAGTTTCTTTTAAATTCCCCTTGCTTTTATCTGCACCCTCCCTCCCCATGCCCACCTTTATTTTCAATCTTTCTGTGTCAGGACAACTTAAATAAGCAGCAAATGGGCAATTGGTTACCCAGGGCTACCCTCTAGTGGTTACTCATAGCATATTAAAATATACCTTTTTCTGTCAATGTCAAAATTAATCAAACTTTGCAAAAAAAACAAGATCTTTAGCACACTTCTACTTACACTGTTAATTATCAGATTAGCTCCAGAATAACTCTTAAACTAAATTGCTGAAGGATTAAATTATTTTCACAAAGTCACAACAATATCCTGAGATGTTTCACTTATTAGATTACATGTTATCTTCTAGTCATCTAAGCATTACTACATAACGGACAACCGAAAGAACAAAATTGCATAAAATTTTTAAAGCTAGCAATAAATAATAGAAGACTATAACGTGCCTTGAAATGACAAATGTGATGAGATGAAGTTTTAATTTACTGTGACAAGCCAGACTGTTCCTGTACAATTTCAAGGACAAAGAAAACATGGATCTATAAGCCTCCTGTTGTAGGCAAGGGTTTGTTTCTTTTCTAAAGGTCAGGAGCCAATAGTTCACACTTGGTGAGACTAAATTCCCTAAGGGCTGCCTCTGAAGGAGATCAAGAGAGAAATGTATTAAAAAAAAAAAAAAACTGTATCAAGAATTAGAAAAAACGTATGTTAGCTGACAGATGGCTAATTTATTTTTTTAAGAGAATTTACAAGACTTTTTGGAGATGTGGTTGATTCAGGACTGAGGCAGGGAAAATACAAGATGAGTCTGAAGCATCTTGTGGTGCTAGAGAGGATGTGCTCAAAAGAAGGAAGGAGGTGTGTCAAGAAAGCAAGGGAACCAACCCGAAAGAGCTCCCAGTGGCCAAAGCTGAACATTTTGGACAACAAAATCAACAACAAAGACTGGATTATAACCCATAGAATGAAATACATATCCATGAATGTGCACCAACATAAATAACTGAATACATAAATAAATGGGGAGAAAGGACAGTTTTTCCTTATAGAAACATTCCAATAATAAATGTAGATGGAATAGGGGAAATAGAAAATAACCTTTAGAGCATCTTAGTGATGATACTTGCAGGCAAGATCCATGGAGGGATGACAAAAATCAGTGGGGAAACAGGATATTTACATAGTCTAAAAGTATGTCCCCCAAGATGTTCTGAGGAGAACATAGTAACTCTACAGTGGAGAAACCCAGCAGATACCACTTTAACCAAGTGATCAAGGTTAGTATCACCAGCAATAAGTTATAATTACTAATAATAAGTAATAAGTGTTGATATCACATGCCCTTAGAGGGATACGATGAGAAGCGAACATCACGCGTGTCCTGCCAAAAATGCATAACCTCAATCTAATCACGAGAAAACTTCAGACAAACCCAAAGTAACCAGTATCCTTCCAAAGTATCAAGGTCATGAAAAGACAAGGAAAGACTGAGAAATTGTCACAGACTAGAAGAGATTAAGGAGACATGAGAACTAAATGCAATGTGGAGTCTTGAACTGGATCTTGGAATAGCAGAAGGACATTAGTGAGAAAACTGGTAAAATGTGAATAAAGTCTCTAGTTACAGTATTGTACCAATGTTAATTTGTCGATTCTGATAGTTGAATAATATTTGTGCAAGTTGCTAATATTAGGAGAAGCTCGGTGAAGAGTATATGGAACTCTTTGTACTGTTTTTGTAACTTTTCCATTAATCTAAACTTTTCTCACAAATAAAAAGTTTGTGGCCGGGCGCAGTGGCTCATGCCTGTAAATCCAGCACTTTGGGAGGCTGAGGCGGGTGGATCACCTGAGGTCAGGAGTTTGAGACCAGTCTGGCCAATATGGTGAAACCCCATCTCTACTAAAAACACAAAAATTTGCTAGACGTGGTGGTGGGCGCCTGTAATCCCAGCTACTCGGGAGGCTGAGGCAGGAGAATCGCTTGAACCCAGAGGTGGAGGTTGCAGTGAGCCAAGATCGTGCCACTGCACTCCAGCCTGGGCGACAGAGTGACACTCCGTCTCAAAAAAAAAAAAAAATTTATATACCAGGCAATGGAAAAGTACAACATAGATTACCTCATTTGATTCTCCTAATAACTAGGCAAAGGTGGTGTGAATATCCCTATTTTACAGCCTAGGCAATTGAGACTTCGAAATACTAAGTGAAATGTTCAAATGCACACAGTAAGATGTGTCAGGACTGAAACCTTGTTATGACTTGTTCAAAGTCTCCATTCCTTCTACCATGTTATGAGGATCTGCACAGGCCTGTACCCACCCAAGAAACACAAGTAATCTCTTCTAAAACTAGAGTAAAATTTTAAAGTGGCAGCAATGTTAAAAAAGCAGCAGAGGCAGAATCTAGTGGCAATTTTTAATTTGCTTAAAATATGCAGTTTTGGGGGAAACATGGTTTTCTGTCAAAAAGGCAAATTACTATATATTTAAATAAAGTTATTTGTATTTACTATGACATCCAGCAAGTCTTATAAAATTATACAAATTACAATATACTGCTATGCTACCCAATATGAAGTATAAAAAAGATGATTTTGTAACAGGTCATTTAACTTCAATAGGCATAGATGTTTTATTATATAGTTCAAAGATACCTAAAACAGATAAGAGGGGAATTTTCAGATGTCTTAGTGTTTTTTTTTCTTGCAATTTGCAACATTAAACCATTTACCTACATAAACACCACATAAATATTATTTAATACAAAGAAGCAGCATATCAAACCCTATAGAAATATCTGAGAAAATGTCCATGACGGAAGAGAAATGCTTCCCCCTTTTCCCTTTTAGTGATACGTTACAGGCATCACAGTAATGATAGGTTACTTCATTTTGTGAATGACGATAAAGGATCAGAATTAAAGCCCCTAAACAAAGTGGTTCCTTTCTCATAACCAAATGTAACTGAATTAAATTATTGATGGATTGTGTTCTCTGCAGTGCAGAAAGATGGCTCTGCCAAGGAAGGGCTATGTAAACTTCATTGTCCGGCTTCAGGTTATCTGTTTACTTCTGTACTTCACTGTGATTTATCATTAAGAAACTGAATTTGTTTTGCCACACTATCCCCCCTTTGAATGAACTGTACACTGGAAACATGCTAATAGAAAAAGATAAGACAAATTGCATTTTTTCCCAATTCTACAACCTAATAATTTTTAAAAGCACATATTTTTAAAGGTTAGAAGATGCTTTAAATATCCTAACAAATTTCTCATATTTATTTATAGGAATTTAACCCAAAAATTAAAATATCAACGGTATATTATCATGAACATGCCTACAACAACAGTTGGGAAAAACAAGCTCAGCACAGACTAAATCAGACAATTTAGGCTGGGCATGGTGGCTCACGCCTGTAATCCCAGCACTTTGGGAGGCCGAGGCGGGTGGATCACCTGAAGTCAGGAGTTTGAGACCAGCCTAGCCAACCTGGTGAAACCCCATCTCTACTAAAAATACAAAATTAGCCAGGGGTGGTGGCGTTTGCTTGTAATCTCAGCAATCTGGGAGGCTGAGGCAGGAGAATAGCTTGAACCCAGGAGGTGGGGGTTGCAGTGAGTCTAGGTCGCACAACTGCACTACAGCCTGGGCAACAAAAGCAAAACTCCGTCTCAAAACAAACAAACAAACAAAAACAGACAATTTAATACACTTTAAAGCGTATCAAAGTTTTGAAGTCTGTAGTACCTTAATCAAGAAAAAAAACAGATTAATTAAACTGAATATTAAAACTACCTGTATTTTATATAACAATTATCACCCCTCAAGAGTAAATTTTCCAACCACTTGGTAATTATCTCATTTATTTTCACAATATCATTTAAGTATGTAGGAATAGTTAACTTATTTATATTTGCTGATGGCTAGCTGAGTAACAGAGTCCCACAATAGCAAATCTAAAACTCCAATTTAGGTCTGCTGATTCCCTATCCAGAGCTCATTCACTGAATCATAACACCTCTCAGCTATTTACAATGTGTAGTGAAGGATACAGAATAGCTTGTCACAATGTATTAGAAAAAGCAAATACATCATAGTTGTGTTCAGCAGTCTACCAGCCTCCCTTTTCATGTCTGGGTACATTTTACAATTCAACAGATAAAAATCACCATTTAGTGTGATAGAAATTACTATCTTATTTATTGGCTCTATTAACTCGACAGTGAGAAAGAGAGAAAAAGATGGATCTTGGGCTAGGTCGTTCATGGTCCTTCTAGCCCTGATTTCTATCTATAAGGCAGGAAGAAAATCTAAGTGTATTGTTTATCCACCAGGAGATTGGTCTGTGCCATGTTATGTTTGAGGAGCCTATTTGGCATCCAAGGGGAGACACAGAGCAGGTAGTTGGGTATACCTGACTCTAGGGTAAGAAGAGCAGTCTGGCTGGAGGTTCTATGAGAATGCAAACTCCAGTAAAACAGGGATTTTGTCTATTTTGTTAAGTTCTATACCTTTAAGCACCCACAACAATGCCCAGGACATACCGAGAGCTCTATAAATATTAGATGGGACTACATGAAACTGCCATGACGTTGTACTATTTTTGATCTATATTAACAGCAACTTCATATGATTCTATCTAGTACTTACTGAATAAATGATACCCTGTAATTTTTCATTTCACAGTCTCTCCTCTGGATCTGAGCTAAAAAAATTCCTGCCTTACTGGAAAAAGAGTACAGCAGAGTGGGTAGAAGATCCCGAAGTTGGTCCTTGCTCCTTTTCAGACCCCAACGGTCTCAGTCTCCCTCTTTCCTGGCTAGTGCATTACAGGCACACTAAATATTGTTGGTGGTGATGATGACAGAAATTACCTTTTCCTAATATTTCCTATAGGTAATTATTAGAAAATTAAAAGTAGCCACTTGCAAATTATATAACTAGTTGATTTTAAATAAATTTACAGTATTTTTCTCAGTACTGTTACCGGGTAGAAGGTTCTGATCATTGAGATGTCCAGGTCCTTGGCACACTGAACACAGAACTGAACAGCACACACAAACAAGCAAGGAAAGTGTAGACTTACTGAAGTGGGAGGCAATAGTAGTGAAAGTACACTCCACAGAATGGCAGCGGCCCAAGCAAGTGGCTCAAAAGCCTTGGTAGCAAAGTCTTCTGGGGTTTTAAGTACCCTCTAGAGGTCTCCCATTGGTTACACCCTATGTAAATGAAGGGCTGGCTCATGCCAATTAGAGGCTGAAGTGAACTGGCCCATGGGCAATCAAAGACAAGCTGGATTGGCACCTTATTTATGCAAATGAAGGTCCTAAAATGGACCAATCATAGGCCACAGTGCAGGTTTGCCTCATGGCCAATCGGAGGCTGGTGTGAATAGGCACCTTATGCAAATGAAGGTCCTAGAATTTAGTTCCAGGAAGTTTGCATGAATTGGCCTTAGGTTCCCTGCCTTCAGAGCCTATTCTTTTGCCTCACTACTACAGTTATCATTTTATAGCTAAAGTTTCTGAGTAATAGATTATTTCTCCAAAGCCATAGCAGAAGAGTAGATAGGTAAACTCAAAAGTCCTGAAGTTCAATTTTGGGCTTAATTCGTTACAACTTGTCTCTACCACCGACTATGCGGAAACTCTATATATGTGTGTAAGGATGTTACTATGCTATTTAATTACATTAAGGGATTTTTCTGCCCGTATTTGTTTTCCTATGCTATATCACATTTAGAAACTTCCAAAGACAAATCCAATTGCTTATCATTTTACCTGGATAGTTTACCTGCATAGATTATCACGTGAAACAACTTTTCTCCTGAAACACACACACACGTATATATAATCTTTAAAAGCTTATATGAGTGATCTTTAAATTACCATACTGCTATATACAATTTCCATAGTTCTCTTTTTGGTTTATCATGTCATAAACTGAGCATAAAATAAGAATTATTTTCTATTCTGTTTTATAAAGAAATGCTGTTCCTGAAGAACTTTAATATATATTAATTCAAATTTAATCATTTAAATAGACTGTAATAAAAAAAGGAAGCTGAGGATGACTATGCAAATCTAAGCATGGTGTTCTGATAGGACAACTTCTAGGATCACAACTCCACTAGCCACTTCACATGTAGATGAACTTTCTTTAAAACTCAAAAGCTGCCTCTGATGTCCTATATAGCATACAAATGAGCAGAACAATAATGAGAAACACAACACATGTAAAATTGCGGGAATAATACTATTTTGATGTGCAGCTTAAAGAGTAATTTGTTGAATAATAATAATCCCCAAGACAAGTTGACAAATTAACTTGCTTCTAAATAAATGAAAGTATAGGCCAGGTGCGGTGGCTTAAGCATGTAATCCCAGCAATTTGAGAGGCCAAGGCAGAAGGATTGCTTGAGCCCAAGAGTTTGAGGTTAACCTCACATACAGTGAGGTTACTCTATGACTGTGCCACTGCATTCTATCCTGGGAGACAGAGCAAAAACCAATCTCTAACAAAAGTAAATAAATAAGTAACTAAATAAAGAAAAGCATAATATTACTTTTCAAACTTAAGTAGTGGCAGATGAGAGCCCTTTCCCAAGCAGCTGCATTAGGTGATTTGTAAAAAGGCTAGAATTTGTTTTACCTTATAATACCAAATAATACACCTTTCACAAAATGTGCTGCTCTGGCTTGTTTAAACAATGGATGTGCCCCCCATCACGTGATTTGGTCTCTCTTTCTTAGCTATATTCATCCAATCTGGACAGTGAACTGTGATGGCAGGGACATCTCTCTATTCCCTTAAATCTCTCTGCCTTATGCCCACTGTGCTTGACAATGAGGATCTTGAAAAACTATAAATTAAATTCCACAGGTATGCACACAAAATTGCATATAAATGTATAATGTACTGTTAAATCTCAATTCCTTAAAGGTTCAGAGGATTATTATCTACTCTTCCCTTCCGTTATGAAAACATCATATCCACAAACCTGCAAAATTAAGTTACCCAACCAACAAGCGCAAGCTGTTTAGCTCTTAAATTGAGGTGACACAACGTGCAAAGGAAAGTCACCTTAATTCCACTAAGGGAAAAAAAAATGCACTAAAACCCATCTCTCTGAGCTGAGCCTTCATTCAATATTGAAACAAGTAATCTCAAATTCCATGGTTTTGGTTGCCACTCAACACTATTCCATTCAACTGGGGATTGAACAAAGCAAAATAAAAGGGAGCTTTAATGTGCCTTTTCTTCTCCTTTTTGCTATACTACATTGACAGCATCTTGTTCATTAATTAAACTTTTTCTTCCCTTTAAGAAATAGACTGTAGTGTGCTATACTGGACACTGAGGAAGCAGGCAGGAAATAAGAGGCATAAGTTAGAAAAAATCTAGGATTTAAAAATTGTAGTTGGAGATACAAAATATTCATGAACGATAAAACAAATATAGAGAAACATTTCAACAAATACAAAGTAAGATGGTAAGTATTTAACACATACAGGGGTTGACATGGAGGCAGAACTAGGAGTGATTAGAGGTTCCTCTCACGGATTTTACATGAATCAAGACAGCTCCACCTTGATGACTGAAACAATTCAGGAGCCTTGCACATTTTCTGTCATCCACTAGAAATGGGGTTATGAATTTAAGTCTTTGGAGGCTATGAACCCAGTTAATAATGACTAATTTGCCAAATTTGCTGGAACCCTCAGAAATAAATTTTGGTTTTGTGAGCCTGACATGTGTTTCTTACGTAAGAAGGGAATGCATTCACTGTTGTGTTTTTTGGTTTTTTGTTTTGTTTTGTTTTGGTTTCTTTTTGAGACGGACTCTTGCTCTGTTGCCCAGGCTGGAGTGCAGTGGCACTATCCCGGCTCACTGCAACCTACACCTCCCAGGTGGAAGCAATTCTCCAACCTCAGCCTCCCAAGTAGCTGGGATTACAGGCTACGCCACCATGCCCGGCTAATTTTTTGTATTTTTAGTAGAGACTGGGTCTCACCACCTGTTGGCCAGGCTGGTCTTGAACTCCTGACCTCAAGCGATCTGCCCACCTTGGCCTCCCAAAGTGCTGGGATTATAAGCGTGAGCCACCACGCCCAGCCTTCATTGTTGTTTTTGTTCTGTATAATAATAGGCACAATAGGGAGATCATGAGGAAAAAACATAATTCTTATTCATTACCTTACTGATATGTAGGAACTTTTGCTTTGATAATAATTTAAAGAAGATATGCCATTTCTAATTTGCCATCTTAAAGCTCAAAATAATAATGCAATAAAATTCTAAGTTTATGAAAAATCTTTTGACAGAAATGACAGGTGTTCTAAAGGGAAATGATTAAAAGGTAAAAAAGATGAGAAAATGCTTTTCATGTATTTTTTATTTGGGTTTTAGATACCTCAATATGAGGGAACTAGAGGAACACAGCATTCTTTACTGTTTTATCATTATGTAAATCAAATAGATTTTCTTTTCCAATAAAATTCTATGTGTAAATTGTCCCTGTGCATATCTTGCCGGCAAAAAAATTACAGGAATGACACCAATTTCATGGTAACTTTAATTTAAAAAATGCTCCTCAGCTTTACAACCTGAAGATGAAGAAAGTTTACACACTTTCTTGAAGTCTGTCACTAAAAACTGATGACCAGTGGAAATTTATCTTCTCATCAGCCATAAAATAGTGACTGCAAAATTCAATAATCTTGAATGCATAGTTCAAAATTTGTGATTTACTGTTTGGCAAATAAAAGTTATTTTCTAACCATAATAATAGCTATTTATTGAGGGCTTACTCTGTTCTAGGCACTGTTTTACCTATATTATTGCTGCTTTACATCCTGGAAAGCCACTTGATACTTTTTTATTAGAATCCCCAGAAAAGAAAAGAATCCATCCTTTCAATGTTCATTTCCTGAGTATTTGACAACACAATTAGAAAAATTATCTTAATGTTAGAAAAACAGTGCTGTTCATAGATATGAAGAGAAAGCCAGCAGCATATAGAGAAATGGGATAGTCAAGATTATTACTGACAGTGAATAGGAAAATATAATCAAGTTCATGAATTCTAAAAGGAAATTAAAGACATTTGCTAATTAGGTGATCACAAAAGAAATGATAAAGCTCATTTCCTGCTCTATGACACTGGCAAGGCATCAAACCAAAAAGACGAAACAAAGGCATTTGGCTTTCATTATAAACCTATATAAAACAGCACAATAAAGAGATGTATACACAGCTCTTTCACATCAGTTAACTTAGATTCCTACCATTTTCTTAGACAAGTGTTTCTATTACCTTTCTTAAAGATCTCACCATGGCTCAGCAGCTGCCATGAGTTAACGAACTAAAAATATGGTTTCTGATGCACATACAATTCATTTTCACATCCACAAGAAAATAATGGGCAAGAATAACTAATAAAGTTAAGCAAAGTGGCAGGGTGTGGTGGCTCACGCCTGTAATCCCAGCACTTTGGGAGGCCAAGGCGGGCGGATCATGAGGTCAAGAGATCGAGACCATCCTGGCTAACACAGTGAAACCCTGTCTCTACTAAAAATAAAAAAATTAGCTGGGCGTGGTGGCACGTGCCTGTAGTCCCAGCTACTCAGGAGGCTAAGGCAGAATAGCCTGAACCTGGGAAGCAGAGGTTGCAGTGAGCCAAGATCGCGCCACTACTCTCCAGCCTGGCAACAGAGCAAGACTCCATCTCAAAAAAAAAAAAAAAAGAAAAGGGTAAGAACTGAAATAAAAACTGCAGGTTGATGAATTCACCTTAGAATTCACAGGCAGATTATAAACCTCAATATATATTTTTCTCATTTAATTATACTTCTACAAGTTTATGTTCAAATTCTATTTTCAAAAAAGTCTGAGTAATGAACATAGATGATGGCATTCAGGGAGAAAAGAAAGACCATAAGCAAATCTAGACTTAGAACTTGCTTACTTTTTGTAGTTATCAGTGTTTTGGTTTTAAGAAAAATCAATATTACTTAATTTTGCAACAATTAATTTTTAACTAATCCAATTACTTAAAAATTTATTAGAAAATTATGCTCTTCACAAATGCCACTTACTGTTAATATCTGCAACTTTTCCTACTATCAAAAGGGCTCATTTACTTCCTTTCAAATTAACATGCATAAAATAGTATTTGTTAACTATCAATAATTTTTTTAAAGTAAATTAACAACAGCTACAACGTACAGAGTGCCTATATGTGCTCAGCAGTGTGTCAGGCACTTGACAGACATTATCCCTGCTCCTCACAAGAACCCACAAAAAATAGAGATTATTATTCCCATATAAAAATGAGAGCATAAGACAGACCTTAGGAAAAGTAAGTATCTTGACCAGAATGATAAAATGAACCAAGTTAAATCTTAACTGACCCAAATAATCATAACTGTACTCCCTCATAACCAATATAGCTCATCCTAACTTTGGTGCAATAGCAATCCAAAGTTCAGAAAGAACTTACACTTATAGAAAACGTACTTAAGTCTTGATCGTCACCAAAAAGCAGGCATTCTTTCTTTCCTTTAGTTGGGGAGAAAACAGAGGCCCAGAGAGGGTAAAAAGCTTTTCAGAGCTCCCAAAGAGGTTGCAAGGGCCTGGCCTGTGGCCTTCAGCCTTTAGATCCAATTTTCTTTCTAATGCTCAGGCTTTAACCAGCATAGTTGAAAACGCATGTATTTGTAGCAAAGTACCTGGACAGGCACACCCCCTTTAAGTCTTAGATAGCTCTCCAATCTTCACATTTAACTACATGGTTGCTCACCATTTTTATTATTCCCTTAATATCTTTGTGAGAATAGAATTTTCTATACATTTTCCTTTGGCAATCAAAACTGTTAAATAGAAAAGCCATGATTACTGCTTCCAATTTTATTCTATTCTATCATAATGTTCTACAATGGTGTTTCATTCTCAAATACAGAAATGCTGGGGCATGTAGCGAACAAGTAATACTGAAAAGCTGATTCAAGGAATAAATAATAAATAGTAGGGGTTTTCCCCATAAAATATTGACACAGAAGCCTACAAACCTGCAGTTCTTCAGATGGCAGCTCTTCCTACCTCAGATTAGGTGATGTAATCTCACATAAACAATGAGGGGAAAAGACCAATAAAAGAAGGTTTAGGATCTTTACAGTAAAACAAAACCAAGTTATTCATTGGATTTGGGTGACATAATAAATGACATTACTGGTCATGGAAAAACATATTTTCCTACCTATCCACCTAGAAAATTGGACTGGGCATACCCACTCTGATTTATGTGGTCAAATACAAAGCATTTTCAAATACTGGGCAAATTTTTAAATAATATGGACTATATATTTATTGAACACAATTGTCCTTTTGAAGTATTTTTTTCAGTCATACTCAAAAAGTCAGATACTTTTTGACAGCTCAGGAAATATATAGCAAAAAGCTTTTCATAATATTGTATAACAAATCAGAGAAGAAATGCCTGTGAACAAACAAACAGTCTAAAATCAAACCAAATGCATATACATACCTTCGTTCACATTTTAAGATGTCAACTATGAAAACATAATGCAGAATTATAGTTACAGGCAGATTTCACTGCAGTATTTCTGGAAAAATATGATTTCCCTTGCTCTTTAAATGATGAAAAATAGCCTGCTAAAAGGATCTTTTAAAATATGTCTATAAAAAATCTCCCCCAACATGACTAAGATGTGATTATAAACACAATTTCAATCAAGTGATACTATCTATAACTCTAGCAAGTAGGTAATGAAAAACGGGGGGGAAAGGCAAAGGGCATTTTGCTTTCTCACATACTACACAATAACATATTTTACGTCCTAGTGAATATAAGGCAATACTTATGATAGCTTTTCCTACTGCACTTGGGGAAGACCTTTAAGACTCTAAAGAAAAGTGGAGACCTTCCCCGACTTATGGTGGGATTATGTCCTGATAAACCCATCATAAGTTGAAAATATCATGACAAAAATGAATTTTAATACACCCAGCCTACCAAAAATCACAGCTTACTTTAAACATGCTCAGAACACTTACATTTGCCTACAGTTGGGCAAACTAATCCAACACAAAGCTTACCTTATAAAAGCATTAAATATCTCATGTAATGTATTGAACACTGTAGTAAAAGTGAAAAACAGAATGGTTTTACATCATAAAATAAAAAAATTTTAAGTCAAGCCATCAAGAAATTCAAACACAAAAAATCTAAAACACAAACATTCAGATTTTATACATCTTCTCAACTACTATCTACAAGTTTATGCTTATTACAATATTTTTCTTTTTTTTTTCTAATCCCCATGCTGATCAAAATTACAATATTTCTAATGTTTGGTTTGGATGACTGGTAGAAGTAAAGGTATAGCCATGGGACAGTTTTATTTCTGAAAAGCAAAATGATATTGAGTACTTACTATGTACAAGGCACGGTTCTAAGCACTTTCTTTGTATTAGCTTTATTTAGTACTCACAACAACCCTTTAGGACAGATACTATTAGGATCCTCTTTTCACAGATGAAGAAACTGGAGCACAGAAAGGTTAAGGAAACTGCCAAAAGTCAGGTTACAGCTGCTAAGTTGCAGAGCAAGAATTTGAATCCAAGTAATTGTATTTCCAAGCACTTAATTGCTCTGAAAATTATATCTGTAGTTTGTCAGATGAAATTACCTATTCTTTCCTGAATTTATGCAGAAAATAAAACAGGAAAGGGGCTTATCCTAAATCATCCTATTTCTCATCCCTTAACTTTTAAAGCTATACATACAACAACAAAGAAGAACCTGTTACGATGTCAACTGACTGACTCCCATTGGCAGTGCATCTGAAATAATTAGAATTGGTATCAAAAACTTAGGTTTGATTCTGAGCTATATAGGATACAAAGTTTATATGTTTGGACAATTCATTTAACCTTTTTGAGACTCAATACTAAGGTACAGAATGGAATAAAAATATGATCTCCCTTATTTATTTCTGAGGAAGCCAAACACTTAAGATGATTTGGAAATGTTCTTACAGAAGAATTCCAGCTAATAACTTTAGAAATAAAAATAATATAAGTGATTTTGGAAAGATCATTCGATAGACAAACCATTAGATGAAGACTTGTTGAAGAACAGAGGGTTCAAACTACTGCTACCCAATATGCTTCCTATGTGACACAATATGAAAAATAAAGTACCACTTATGAAGGATTCTTGCCAAAAAGGTTGCGCCTGAATCTACGTAAGTCTTTAGAGCTAATTCCATTTACAGAAAAAAAAAATGGGTTATACAGTAACAAATTAAATGACACCACAAAAAAAGCAAACAAATAAACCCAAAATGTGAAACATATAGAACTGGCTCATTTCTTCAAGTTAATGGGCTGAAAAAAACAAAAACAAAAAAGGAGAGAGAAAAGGAGAGGTAAGGGATTACTAAAAGATTTATGAGACAACAGCCAAATCTAACATGTGACCTGATGTAAATCCTAGTTCAAACAAACCAGATGTAAAAACAAAAACAAAACATTTTTTAAGCAGTTGGAGAAATCTGAACATGATCTGGATATCTGATGTCACCAAAAATTATTGCTAATTTTGCCAAGTCATAAGACAGTAACACTACAATTATGTAAGAAAGTGTCTATTTTTTTTTAGAGGTGCATACTGCTGTGTATAGGTATCTGTGATGGTTAATTTCACATGCCATCTTGACTAAATCACAGCGTTCCCAGATATTTAGCTAAACATTATTTTGGAGAGTGTCTTGGTGTCTCCAGATGAGACTGGTATTCCAATCAGTAGGATCTGTAAAGAAGACTGCTCTCCCCAATGTAGGAGGGCAGCACCCAATTTGTTGAGAGCCTGAATAGAACAAAAGGTGAAGGGAGAATTCTCCTGTCTGCCTGACCACATGAGCTGAGACATCAGTCTTCTCCTATCCTTGGACTGGGACCTACTGGCTCCCCCAGTTCTCAGGCCTTTGGACTCAGGTTGAACTACACCACTGGCTTTCCCGAGTCTCCAGCTTGCTGACAGCAGATCATAGAACTTCTCAGGCTTCATAATCACATAAGCCATTTCCTCATAAAAAATCTCTTTATATAGAGAGAGCAGCATATGACAGTCTGAAACTTGCTTCAAAAATAGCTAAAACACAAATAATAATAAGGGATAAATAAATAAATAAAATATGGAAAAGACTGATAACTGTTTAGTATGACGACAGATATGTGAGAATTTGTATTTGTATACATTTGGAATTTTTGATAATGTTAAATTTTTTTAAAGTATTTTCTCCACTTGTTTCATAAACTATTATGATGATCATTGAGAAAAATTATATAAAAGTAGCTAAAACACATATCAGTGTGTTTTAATGTCAGTGTGTTTTAATGTCAGTTTGAAAAAGGAATAAAGAAAAAAATTTAAGGAATCCACATTCTAAATTAGGAGATGGCCAACTATGGCCAGTCCACAGGCCGAATCCAGAAGGCTGCCTGTTTTTGTGATAGTAACACAGCTACATCCATTTGTTTAAATATTGTTGATAGTTGCTTTCATGCTGCAGCAGCAGAGTAAGTGCAACAGAAACCACATGGTTCATAAAGCAAAATTTATTTACTATCTGGCCCTTTAAAGAAAGTTTACTGACTCCTATTATAAATTCTACATTTTTACTATTATTTAAGAGAAAATTTAGCCTCAAAACATTTTCAGAGCCTTTCTTTTTAAAATTTACCAATGATTTTCCCTATCTAGCTTCTCACAAATAAAAACAAAACCACCCACAAAATAGGGGCTGGTAGCCTCATAAGTTTTGCCCTAAAGTGAATAAATCATTTCATAGCTTCGAGGTAGCTACTTTTCTATTAAATCTAGAAGCCCATAATAAAAGTAAACAAACAAACCAAAAAAGGAAAGAAAATTTATAATTTCATATTACAATTATTATTTTACTTCCCGTTCCCTGAGTTTAATAAAAATAGCCAAAGGGAGACAATATATTACATGTTTCAATGCATTCCAACCAAAGGATGTTTTTTATTTGGGGAGGGAAAGAGAAAGGAACACATACACATACAAGGCTGGAATTTCCTCCATGTCAGTCCAGCAAAGAACACTGTAAACCCATGGGCCATTTTTTTCTAACTATAAACTGTATGTTTTGGATTAATAGTTTAAACACATTATTTGGCAGCCTTCAACTTAACTTACATAAACTTCAGGTACACCCATGAGCTGATTACTAATTTAGGGCTTGAGAAAAGCAATGTTTCAGAGGGAAAAGGAGACATGAATGAGCTTAATATGTAAGTACACTAGCTAAAGGGCATAATTAAAACTACATCACTCCTTTAAATCTACATAATTATGTCCCAAAGACATTCTCATTAGTATCTTTTATTTTGCCACTAAACCAGAAAGGACTTCATGTCTACATAGTTGGGAAATTCATATAAAATTTAAAAAGCTAAGGCCAGCTGTACGCATCAGCTCACGCCTGTAATCCCAGCACTTTGGGAGGCTGAGGAGGGTGGATCACCTGAGCAGGAGTTTGAGAACAGCTTGACCAATATGGCAAAACCCTGCCTCTACTAAAAATACAAAAATTAGCCAGGCATGGTGGCATGTGCCTGTAATCCCAGATACTCGGGAGGCTGACACAGGAGAATTGCTTGGAGACAGGAGAATTGCTTGAACCCAGGAGGCAGAGGTTGCAGTGAGCGAAGATCGCACCACTGCACTCCAACCTGGGTGACAAAGCAAGAGTCTGTCTCCAAATAAATAAATAAAAAAGCTAAGGCATATATAAGTCAGATAAAGTGTTTGCAAAATTCAACGACTGAACTTCCCTTTTTAAAGTAAAATCTGCCATTAAGTAATATATAAATCCAGTCAACCATCACTGCTACCACAATATCAGTAGGTAACCTTATGCCCCAAATTTCAGAGGGGAAAATAACCAGAAAGAATTAAACTATTTTTAATTTTAGAAGACAGAATGCTGCTTTTTCTGACACTAACTCAACTGGAAATCTCTACTAACCAGTGCTTCCTCTACTATACAATGATAATTGATGTTCCTAATGATCAGCCTGAAGCATGTTCCAAATCCTGAAGTTCATTCTAAATGATTAAAAAGAAGATTATGTTCAGTAGACTTTCAGTGGTGAGTACACTTCATTATATTCTCATTATTTTAAGATTAGTAACATTTTTAGGATATATAGGGCAACTGTCCATCGAAAGGCTATCCCCAAAATCAGATATTCACAGAGGCTATACTGGAAAGCTCTTAATATTATGGTCAATTTACTATACATAGAGGAGAAAATCACCTCTCTCAAGACGTGGGACATGAAATTCTATAGGGCATTAAGAGATTCTGTCCTAGGACTTGAAGAAATTTTAAATCCCCTTTTTGAAAAAAATTGGCCCAAACAGTGGCCCTTGTACTCTCTGCTTATAATTACACTGATCAAATCTTCTGAGACAGAAGCTGGAAGAGGAATTAGGAAGCTATTGCAATAATTAGATAAGAGATGGTGATGGTGTGGACCAATATTGTGGCAGTACAAACTGGATAATGATATACTTTCAAGGTTGAGCCAGAAGAATTTGCTGAGAGCATCGGTATGAGAGAAAGGAGTAAAAGACTATATACATCAAGGTTTTTAACCTGAGCAACTAAAACAATGAGATTGCCATTATCTGAGATTGGAAAGACGATAGGAGGAGTTGGTTTGGGGCAGAATGGTATACCAACAGCTTAGTTTTAAGCACTTTAAGTCTGAGATACCACCTAAGTATTACGATGTTTGTATAATCTAGAACATAGATCATCTGTAGATCATAAGTAGGCACTTGGATATCTGGGTCTAGAGCTCAGGGAGGTGGTTAGGCTGAAAATATGCCCTTAGGAGTTATTGGCATATAGATCTATGTGAAGCCATAAGAAAGGATGAGATCACCTGAGTGTAAAATAAAGAACTAAGGTGTTTCCTGGAGTGCTAAACTATCTAAGAAGAATATAATACCCACATTCCTCATCTTATTGCGCCCATTTCATTGTGCTTCATAGATAGTGCATTTTTTACATATTGAAGGTTTGTGGAACCCTGCATCGAGCATGTCTATCCATGCCATTTTTCCAACAGGATATGCTCACTTTGTGTCTGTGTGTCACATTTTGGTAATTCTCTTAATTTTTCAAACTTTTTCATTATTATATCTCATTCTCTATATTTTATTATTATGTCTGTTTTGGTGATCTGTGATTAGTGATCTTTGATGTTACTAATGGAATTGTTTTGGGGTGTCACAAACACACCCACCTAAGACAGCAAACTTAGCTGATAAATGTTGTGTGTCTTCTGACTGCTCCACCAACTGGACATAACCCTGTCTCTCTCCCTCTCCTCAGGCCTCTTTATTCCCAGAAACACAAAAATATTGAAATCAGGCCAATTAATAAGGACTCTGACCAAGTGAAAAAAAGACTCGCACATCTCTCACTTAAAGTAAAAAGTTAGAAATTATTAGGCTAGTGAGGAAGCCATGTGCAAAGCAAAGATGGGCTGACAGCTAGCCTCTTTGAGAAAGTTAAGTGAGATAGGCCAAAAGCTAACCTTCTCGTGCCAAACAGCCAAGCTGTGAATGCAAAAAAAAAGTTTTTCAAGGAAATCGAAAGTGATACTCCAGTGAACATGTGAATGATAAAAAAGCAATACAGGCTTAGTGCTGATGTGGAGAAAGATTGAGTAGTCTAGATGGAAGATTAAACCAGCCACAACATTCCCCTAAGTGAAAGCCTAATCCAGAGGAAGGCTGTAACTCTCTTCAATTCTGTGAAGGCTGAGAGGTGAGGGAACTATAGAAGAAAAGTTTGAAGCAATTGGCTGGGCAGAGTGGCTCACGCCTGTAATCCTAGCACTTTGGGAGGCCAAGGAGGGCAGATTGCCTGAGCTCAGGAGTTCGAGACCAGCCTGGGCAACAACGGTGAAACCTCGTCTTTACTAAAATACAAAAAATCAGCCAGGCATGGCAGTGTGCACCTGTAGTCCCAGCTACTCAGGAGGCTGAGGCAGGAGAATCGTTTGCACCCGGGAGGCAGAGGTTCCAGTGAGCCCAGATCACGCCACTGCACTCCAGCCTGGGCAACAGAGCGGGACTCCATCTCCACAAAAAAAAAAAAAAGTTTGATGCTAGCACAGGTGGGTTTATGAGGTTTAAGGAAAGAAGCTATCTCCATGATATAAAAGTACAAGGTGAAGTGGCAAGTGCTGATGGAGAAGCTGCAGCAAGTTACCCAGAAGAACTAGCTAAGATGACAAAGGTGGCTATATTAAACAACACATTTTCAATGTGAATAAAACAGCCTTATATTGGAAGAAGATGTCAACTAGGACTTTCACAGCTAGAAAGGAGAAGTCAATGCCTAGCTTCAAATTAGCCCCTAACTTTCTTGTTAGGGGCTATAGCAACTGGTAGCTTGAAGTAAAAGACAATTTAGCATTCTGAAAATCCTAGGGACCTTAGGAATTGTGCTAAATCTACTCTGCCTGTGACCTCTAAATGGAACAACAAAATGTGGGTAACAGCATATCTGTTTATAGCAGAGTTTACTGAACAGTTAAGTCCACTATTGAGACTTAGTGCTCAGATAAAAGGATTCCTTACAAAATATTGCTGCTTCATGACAATGCACCTAGTCACCCAAGTGCTTTGATGGAGATGTATGATGAGATTAATGTTTTAATGCTTGTTAACACAACATCCATTCTGCTGCCCATGGATCAAGGAATAATATTGACTTTCAAGTCTTATTATTTTAAAAATATATTTAATTAGGATATCATTGCCATAGATTGTGATTCCTCTGATGGATCTAGGCAAAGTAAATGGAAAACCTGGAAAGAATTCACCATTCTAAATGTCATTAAGAATATCTGTGACTCTTGGAAAGAGATCAAAATATCAACATTAACAGGAGTTTGGAATAAGTTGATTTCCAACCTTCATAGATGACTTTGAGGGGTTCAAGACTTCAGGAAAGGAAGTCACTGCAGATGCAGTGGAAATATCAAGAGAACTAGAATTAGAAGTGGAGCCTAAAGATGAGCTGACTGCTGCAACATCATGATAAAACTTTTTAGTGGATAAAGAGTTGCTTCTCATGGATGAGCATAGAAGGTGGTTTCTATTCCTGATGGAAACTATTCCTGGTGAAGATGCTGTGAACACTGTTGAAATGACAACAAAAGATTTAGATTATTACATACGCTTAACTTATAAACAGCATCAGGGTTGAGAGGATAGACTGCGATACTGAAAGAAGTTCTGTTACAGGTAAAATGCTATCAAACAGCACTGCATGCCACAAAGAAATCTTTCATGAAAGGAAAAGTCAATCAATGCAGCAAACTTCATGGCTGTCTTATTTTAAGAAATTGTAAGAGCCACTCCAATCTTCAGCAACTACCACCTTGATCAGTCAGCAGCCATCAACATCAAGGCAAGAACCTCCACCAGCAAAAAGATTACAACTCACCAAAGGCTCAAATGATCATTACCATTTTTAGTAACAAAAAATGTATTTTTAAATAAAGGTGTCTACATTGTTTTTGTAGATATAATGCTATTGCACACTTAATAGACTGCAGTGTAGTATACATATGAGTTTTATATGCACTGGGAAAGCAAATTGTGTGACTTCCTTTATTTAAATTTTATTGCGGTGGTCTGGAACAAAACCTGCAATATCTTCTAGGTATGCCAGTACCACCTTAGCGATGTTAAATACCTATATCTATGTTGTCTAGGATCTATCCCGTCAAGTATCCTATGTACTATTCTAAACCAATTCTTCAATTATTTTAAATCAGCAAGTAAATTTATCTTTGCTGAAAATGAGGAAAGATGGTTATTGTGAAATCAATCAGATGGAACTTGACCTGAGTAGGCCCTTAGATACAATTTTGAGAAAGGCATAACTAGCTGCAGATAAGAAGTACAAGGTAAAGCCAAAAAAAGACTGCAAGAATTCACTAGAATAGGTAAACACTGAAGTCAGGGCAGTCAACAGTTCTGCTTGGATGATGACACAGTTCTGAAGGGTGACCCAGGTGATTTCTGCAATAATAACTTCCATGGATTCAACTTAGATACTTTAAGCATGCTATCAAAAATTCAAATATTCAAAAAATGTATGACAAACATAAAAAGTTTGAGAGGCACTGATCTTATATCTTTGTATCACCTCAAAGCCCAAAACTTTTTTTTTTTTCTTTAAGACACAGGGTGTCACTCTATCTCCCAGGCTAGAGTGAAGTGGCATGCTCATGGCTCACTGTAACCTTGAACTCCTGGGCTCAATCCCATCTCAGCCTCCCAAATAGCTGAGACTACAGGTGTGTATCACCACACCCAGCTGATTTTTTTATTTTTTTGGAGAGAGGGAGTCTTGCTGTGTTGCCTAGGCTGGTCTTGAGCTCCTGGGCTCAAGTGATCTTCCCACCTTGGCCTCCCATAGCGCTGAGATTATAGGTGTGAGCCACCATGCCCAGCCCCAAAATGTATCTCGTTAATGACTACCTAAAAGTTAGCATCTTGGCATTGATTAGAAAATTGAACCCTGAAAAGAGCTCAGCACCCTCAACCAACTTGCTTTGGACATCTGACATTTTAAAAGAAATAAAAACATGTGTATCAAGGAACCGCCATATATATTTTCTAACTTCTATATATATATTAAGAAAGATAAAGATCAGAAGACAGCAATAAAACCAACCTGTAATTTCTCAGCATCCAGCAGGAATACTTTAACTGAAACTTAATAACATGCTCTCAGCTTATACAAAGGTTCAGCGTAAGACTCTCCACTTGAGTAATGGTTCTATGTGTTTAGCCAAACCATGGTTTAAAAGGTCCTTTATTATGTTACCAACAACCTTTATATGAATATTTCATGGATCATAAAATATTCATGCATCCCAATTCTGTATGTCCAAATCTTACCATCCTTCAGGGTTCAATTCAAATATCAATTTGTCCATGAAGCCCTCTCTGAGTCTCCTAGGTAGATATATCTTACTCTTGAGCTTGTCCTCCTACTATGCTTACTACTTTCTACATCATATTAAATAAGAACTTAGGGGAGGGCATTTTATTGATCATTTGCTATGTATCAGACACTGTGCTAATAAGCACAATACTAAGGGTTATTATCATATGTAATCTTCATATCAATCCCATCATTATCCTTATTTGAAAGATGAGAAAACTAAGTCCAGAGATGCTGACTTAACCAAAGTCACATGGCAAATAACTGGCAAATAGGTCTGGGCTCTGGTTTGATTCCAAAGTCTACATTCTCCCCGCCACACCACAGTGCCTTCCAAAACAAGAGAACTTCCCTCTCAGGAGACTAATGTCTACTTATTTATTAAGTTTTGTGAAATATTTCTAAATATCCAATACTTACTTGAATTTAAACCTAACAAAATGTGGTATCTGTCTCCCAAGAGGTTATTATTATTTACAAGGCAATTCAATAGTTATATTAAAATACAAGTTATAACAGTCTAGTAGTATAGACTATGTTCCCTGAGGTCAAGAGTCATATTTTTTTCTTTTTTTTTTTTAACTTTTAAGTTTGGGGGATATGTGCAGGTTTGTTATATAGGTAAACTCACATCATAGCAGTTTGGTGTATAGATATTTCATCACCCACATACTAAGCTAGTACCCAATAGTTATTTTTTTCTGCTCCTCTCCTTCCTCCCACCCTCCACCCTCAAGGAAGCTCCAGTGTCTGTTGTTCCCTTCTCTATGCTCATGAGTTCTCATCATTTAACTCCCGCTTATAAATGAGAACATGCAGCATTTGATTTTCTGTTCCTGCATTAATTTGCTAAGGATAATGGCCTCCACCTCCATCCATGTTCCTGCAAAAGACATGATCTTGTTCTTTTTTATGGCTGAAGAGTATTCAGCCATAAAATGTGGTATATGTGTACCACATTGTCTTTACCCAATCTGTCACTGATGGGCACTTAGGGTGATTCCATGTCTTTGCTATTGTGAATAGTACTACAATGAACATTCGCATGCATATGTCTTTATGGTAGAATGATTTATATTCCTCTTATACTCGGTAATAGCATTGCTGGGTCAAATGGTAATTCTGTATTTAGCTCTTTGAGGAATTGCCATACTGCTTTCCACAATGGTTGAACTAATTTACACTCCCACCAACAGTGTATGTGTTCCCTTTTCTCCACAACCTCACCAGCATCTATTATTTTTTGACTTTTTAATAATAGCCATTCTGACTGGTATGAGATGGTATCTCACTGTGGTTCTGATTTGCATTTCTCTAATGATCAGTGATACTAAGCTTATTCTCCTATGCTTGTTGGCCACATGTATGTCTTCTTTAGAAAAGTATCTGTTCATGTTCTTAGCCTACTTTTTAATGGACTTTTTTTTTGTTTTTCTTTTAAATTTAAGTTCCTTATAGATACTGGATATTAGACCTTTGTCAGATGCACAGTTGGCAAATATTTTCTCCCATTTGGTAGGTTGTCTGTTTACTCTGTTGATAGTTTCTTTTGCTGTGCAGAAGCTCTTAAGTTTAATTAGATCCCATTTGCCAATATGTGCTTTTGTTGCAATTGCTTCTGGTATCTTTGTCATGAAATCTTTGTCCATTTCTAATGTCCAGGATGGTACTGTCTAGGTTGTCTTCCAGGGTTTGTAATGTTTTGGGTTTAACATTTAAGTCTTTAATCCATCTTGAGTTGATTTTTTTATATGGTGTAAGGAAAGGGTCCAGTTTCAGTCTTCTACATATGGCTAGTCAGTTATCCCAGCACTACTTGTTGAATAGGCAGTCCTTTCACCATTGCTTTTGTTGGCTTTGTTGAAGATCAGATGGTCGTAGGTGTGCAGCCTTATTTCTGGGCTTTCTATTCTGTTCCATTGGTCTATGTCTGTTTTTGTACCAGTACCATGTTGTTTTGGTTACTGTAGCCCTGTAGTATAGTTTGAAGTTAGATAACATGATGCCTCCAGCTTTGTTCTTTTTGCTTAGGATTGCTTTGGCTACTAAGGCCTTTTTGGTTCCATACGAATTTTAAAATAGTTTTTCTAGTTCTGTGAAGAATGTCATTGGTAGTTGGATAGGAATAGCATTGAATCTATAAATTACTTTGGCCAGAATGTCCATTTTAATGATACTGATTTTTCCTATCTGTGAGTATGGGATGTTTTTCCATTTGTTTGTGTCATCTCTGATTTCTTTGAGCAGTATTTTCTAATTCTCATTGTAGAGCTCATTCCCCTCTCTTGTTAGCTGTATTCCTAAGTATGTTATTCTTATTATGGCAATTGTGAATGGTGGCATTGTGTTCCTGATTACTGACAGTCCTTAAAACATTAGTATACAGACAGAGTTTAATAAATATGAAAATAAAAGCTCTTCTTGTCCAAGAAAATTATATTTCTTTCCAAAAATGAGAATCATGGACTTTTTCTATCCCCCTTAGCTAAAGTTAGGGCTCAAGTAGAATAATTAATTTAGCCAGGTGTTCAGCAATGTCTAATTCTCTGTTCCTTTCAATATTTTGTTTTTATTTTTCATTTTTCTAAAGGAAGAAGACAATGTCATAAAGCTTATCTAGTGTTTGTGGTATGGCCCATCCAATGAACAGAAAAATCATGTGAATCCCGGAACTTCTACCTAGCAGTAAACTCACTGATCTTCAGGGTGTTTCTTTGCAAAATCCAGGTAATTATACCTATTTTTATATGGTGAATTTCTAAAGCTTAAATAAGAATATTTATACAAAGTAGGCCAGGCACGGTGGCTCACACCTATAATCCCAGCACTTTGGGAGGCCGAGGCAGGTGGATCACTTGAGGTCAGGAGTTCCAGACAAGCCTGGCCAACATAGTAAAACTCTGTCTCTACTAAAAGTACAAAAATTAGCCAGACGTGGTGGTGCACAACTATAGTCCCAGGTACTTGGGAGGCTGAAGCAGGAGAATCGCTCATACCTGGGAGGTGGAACTTGCAGTGAGCCAAGATCAAGTCACTGCACTCCAGCCTGGGTGACAGAGCAAGACTCTGTCTCAAATAAATAAATAGATACAATATTTACAAAAAGTGCCAGACATACTGCAGGACTTAATAAAGGTTAGCATTCCCCACTCTAACAAATTATTTTAAATGCCTCAACCATGCCAAAGGATAGCAAGTTTACTTTAAATCAGCCATCTTCTCAAAAAGCCACTTAAAATGTTAAATGTTTCAAAGAAAAATAACATTATTTTTTAGTCCATTTGTCTCTATCAACAAAATATTATATCCCCTTTTGATACACATTCTTTCCCTACAAATAAAGCAGACAATGTGCTCTTTTAGAACTTTGGTTTATCTTTGTAAAGAGAAAATAATACAAGGCATTCACTGTGGCACTCACAGTCTGCTTTCTCTAAGGACAAGCCTGTCTATACACAACAGTCAGAAAAGCAAATGATCTGGCTGGAAGGGTTCCCTGAAAGAATGAAAACACATTCCTTAGCAATTATACTTTTAAATGAAAAGTCTGTCTTTATGACAACAGCAAGATTTAAATATGAAGGAAAAAACCATGAAGTAGCATATCCTTCAATTTTTCAAAGAGAAAACTAATGGCTTAACACACTTAGGTCCATTTTTGGCCAACGAATACATATTAAGAAAAGACTAGGTGCAGAGCATTCTTTCCTATGCAAGAGATGGGTGGGGAGAATATAAAAACTTTAAGATAGAATCCCTGCTATTTAGACACTTAAAATTTAGTGGAGGTTGAAAGAGGTGTTAGTCACTGCTGGCTAAGGTGCTCAGGAAAGGATTAACACAGGGCTGGGCCTTCTGTGATAAACAGAAAGGATTCTAGAGCTCTTATCAACAGAGGCTTAAACTAAACCTAGTTCATCCCCAATGTACTAAAATTAATTCCAACCAGTTGCCCCTTAATTATTCAGAATTCTCTCCCCTACCAGACAGTATAATTTCTTCCTTTTCTCTAGGTAATAAATTTATACACACTATAGGTAGATTAAAATTATCTTTTAAAAAATCACATAAATCTTTAGGAATGATCTTGAATGTGAAAATCTAAGTCTAACAAAATATAGCTTTTAAAATAACATTTACATGTAAACAATATGTGCCATGTTATCCATAGAAAGGAGTCATCATTACTGTTTGGGATGAAACATAATATAGTTGTAAACAGAGATTAAATGGTTTTACCAAGGCATTATTCAAATTGCATCCTTTATGTAAGAGGCCTTCAAGGCACAATCAATAAGTTAATGATTAAAATACATAAAACTGTAGAAGATAATCATCATCATAAAACTGTGTTAAAATAATGTTTAAGTGTTGATTTGTCAGAAAGGACCTATTAATAAAGACAGATTTTTATGGTACTATTCCTAGAAGGCCCATACATGGGATAGGGATGATTTGGGGAAATCATCTTGTCCCTAATTCCTTAGAGTAAGAATTTAGAAACTGTGGAAACACACTACTTGAACTCACATGTGGCCAAGGCAAAGCTTTGCAAGGAATAAGGAAGCAAAAAAGGAGGACAGAAAGTAGCCTTAAGTACTATGACACCCTTGAAATTCTAAAGACCACACTGCAGTGTTTCTGCAGTCGCAATATCACTAAAGAATAGGATACCAAACCTCAAAGCAAGTAATGGAGCCTCAAGGTTTACACAGTGAGTTACAGCAAGCATAACAGGAAACAAGAAGGGCAACGAAAGTGCATGCAATGTTGGCAAAAAAAAGAGTCCACCTTTAAAAATAAGTCCACCTTTAAAGACAGAAAAAATTGGAAATTTCCTAGAAAAACAGACTTCATGATCTCTTCTTGAATTACCTTGAGATCATTCTCATTAGTGAACATTATATTCAAATACACTAATTAAAATGACTATGTCCTGGATTCATGTTTTTTTAAATATAGATTTTTCAAGAGGCAATTTTAAGTATTTTTAAAACTAAAGGTAGAAATAAAAGCATTATTGTGATAAAACTCATATCCAAGAGAATTAATCTATATATGTATATCTTTCCTTTGTTGGTAAAGAGACATCAAAATATAATATAACCTAAAAACATCAACATAGAAAGCACACCTTATCTTCAAATTGGTTTAACAGTATTATTCTATCTAAATTACAAAGCGACTATATTTAAACAAATAAAAATCCCTTTAATCCACACATTTCCTGTGAAATGTCAAGCTTTTACTATTCTGACTTTATCCTTACATATGGATTTACTGAACAATATCACTTAACCACTATTTAAGCTAGTGACAATGGTATTGTTTCATATTTACTCATTCTGACAAACATTTTGCTTTTGAGTACACTGTCTAAATCTAATAGAATAAAATACAATTTATTTGCAATTTTTAAATATTACAGTGGAGAAAATCTGAGATGAATGTTCATCACAGTGTTGTTTTGAAAGACTACGGAAAACAAGGGGTTTCTTCGTACAAAAAAAAGTCTAAAAACTGCCAAAGGAAGGGGCAGAAAAGATAGGTGGAGAGAAACTATGTAGAAATATTTGTTTTTTTGAGGCTTACATGAAAATTCAAAGGGTAAGGATGGCATACAGGAATGCAACTGGAGAGCTAAAAAAATGTCTCAACCAATGCAAAGGAAAAGGAAATGAGAGGTTGAAATAAAAGGCCTTGAGGTCCAAAGATGTGGAGACAAACTAAAGCGTGTAGTAGGTAAGAAGATTAATTGTGCCCAAGACTCACACACCTTATTGTAGACATCATTCATTTCCCTGTGGAGTATCTTTCCAGTGGGGGATAAAAATATAGAAATTCTTTTGAGATTTTAGTAGAAAATCCTTTTCCCCTCTCTAAGAACTTGACTAAATCACAAGATCCTTGAGCCTAGGCATGATTAAGACAGTGTTGCTTTACTCAATCCTAGTAGGTAGGCCACAGGGATCAAAGACTTGAGAGCAAGGAAATCTGCCTTATCAGTCCTAGAGTCACAGACAGAGCCTGGTACCTTGTTTTAAATGACAGCCCCTCCAAAATGAAGGGTCTGAAACCACCTTCCTCACTGACAGCAGAGACGCAGTGAGCTTAGTGTAGGCCTCATGTAAGCCCAGGCCACCAAGCCAGTGCTTCTCACCTGACTTAAGCTACATTTGCCCAAGCCTCACCAATGGGAGTTGGCCTCAGCTTGTGCTGGTGCTCCACTGCCTCCTGCTGGCCTTCCCCGAACCCACTGACTTTTTAGCTAAATCTGGCTGCATTACAGCTCAAACCTCCACAGACTGAAATCATATCGAAAGGTTATAAGATCCAGGTTCTGTTAATTCTGAGTACACTTGGACAGTTCTCTTTGCCTCAAGTTTCTTCATTGTAAAATGGTGAACACTCAGACCTGCTATTCATATCCCACTAAGATATGACAAGAAAAATGCCAAGCCTAGAGTTCTTACATAAAACTTACGTTGTGGCAAAACATCATGTTTTTGTTTAAGCCTTCCATGACCACCCTATTTAAAACCACATCCAGGCACTAAACAGCATTCCCTATCTTCTGCATGAAAAAATTTCTTCATAGCAGTAATCACCAAGTAATATATCAATAATTCACTTACTTGTTTACTGTCTCTCCTCAACCAGAATGTAAGCTCCAGAGTTTTAATTTTTTTTTCTATATTGTTCACTGCTGCTATACCTCTAGTAGCTAGAAGACCGCCTGGGACATAGTAGACACTCCATGTTTGTTGAATGGATGAACAAAATACACTCTTTAAACAGTCCCCTAGGAAAAGGCAGGTTATGTCTGAGATAGTACAAAAGAAAATGACAAGCTTATTCTGGGATCAAAGTCGAAAAGCAATCTACTTCGTAGGGTGCCTAATCAATATCATCCTTATCATTCAAATTTTTTAAATCTGAGTTTTTGTGTCTCCTTCTCTGAACTTATTCTCAATTAAAAGGCTGACTTCACTTAACAGGTGACATTCTTATCAATACAGAACAGTAACCATCTAGATTTCCCCTTGAGTAAACATCCCTCTAGCCCTTTCCTGATTAGGATTCCTGCTTTTCTGATTGAGCTGCATACAACAACAACAATCGCACTATTAAAGCTATTAAACCCAACCATTCTCTGGGTCCCCACAACAGTTTAAACTTATATATTCTCTTACTATAAAGAGTAATGCGCACAGGCAGGTGCAAAATAACTGTTTGGTTATTTTTTTAAATAAAATAAAATCCTACTTTACATAGAAGTAAACAAACTGGAAAGATGGTTCAAAGTAATTTTTTTAAGTAAAAACAAAATAATAAATTCAACAAATATTTACAGGCAAAAGATGGGTGACAAACACACAACAGGTTGTTAAAGAAAGCCAAGAATATACTTTCCCCACACTTCAAGCCCCTGAGATTCCTAATCTTTATTAATAAATCTTCCAAAGAAAAATCCTTCAGTATCAGAAGTCTGACCCATTTTGGAGCTTATATGTACCCAATTTGTCCAGAGATATGGCCAATTAAAACATACTCTTGATATCTTAAACTGGCATCTTAAGAAGATACATATTTTATTGTATTTTCCCCTAAGAGTACCACATATATTAGCAACAAAAATTTGACCCACCTTTTAAAATGTTGAATAAAATGTCATTTTATTTTTTAATCTCATTTTAATATATCAGCATAATCCATAAGGTATCACTGGCAAAATGACATTTATAAATGAATGACAGAGTTGAAGTCTTCTATTTTTTATCTTATTTCCATAATTTAAGAATTAAAAAGTATTTGGAGTACAACATCAAGAGCAATTAAATTTACTAAAGCTAATTTTTGCCAGAATAGTGTTAGGAGAAGGATAATAACACCTGTTTTATTCTAATGATAGACTTAACCCAATACATAATTTAATTTGAATTTTGACTAGCTAGCCTCTTGACAATTCATGAAAGCAAGCCCAACCTGTTCAAGTTAATGTTTAAATATTAATTCTTATACTGTGTAATCTAGAATTGGTATTCCACATGCTATGGAAAGCATCAAGAGAAGAATTAAACCCTTAAAATACACATATCTTTATTATACACCAAAATATTTATAAGAGAGAATATAACAAATTTCACTGCAATCAAGCTTCAAAAATATGTTTTAGATGACTTGGTAGCTATTAAGGGTACCTTTAAAATTGCTGCCCAAAAATAATAATGACAAATATTAGACTATTTTTGCAAGAAACTTTTTTTTGAGGGGGGTTTAGGGGGGACACGGAGTTTCGCTCTTGTTGCCCAGGCTGGAGTGCAACGGCGAGATCTCAGCTCACCACAACCTCCGCCTCCTGGGTTCAAGCAATTCTCCTGCCTCAGCCTCCCGAGTAGCTGGGATTACAGGTATGTACCACCATACCTAGCTAATTTTGTCTTTTTAGTAGAGACAGGGTTTCTCCATGTTGGTCAGGCTGGTCTCAAACTCCCGATCTCAGGTCATCTGCCCGCCTCGGCCTCCCAAAGTGCTGGGATTACAGGTATGTACCACCATACCTAGCTAATTTTGTCTTTTTAGTAGAGACAGGGTTTCTCCATGTTGGTCAGGCTGGTCTCAAACTCCTGACCTCAGGTCATCTGCCCGCCTCGGCCTCCCAAAGTGCTGGGATTACAGGCGTGAGCCATAAGAAACTATTTTTTTCATTACATTCAAATTACTTTCCTAGGATCTCACTAACACGAACATTCAAACAAAACAAGCTTTGCTTTGAAAGAAAAACAAAAACATAGGCAATTAGAAAACTAATATTTGTGTCTAGAAGTTAACAGGTTTACAAATATATTGAGAAAATGTGACTGATATAGAATAACCCCTTTATCAACATTTTAAAATTATTCAATATTTCTTTAGTACATTACAGATTACATAGTATTTCGCATATATACTTAATTCTTTGCAATATTTTAGCAGACATTACTATTGTCCTCAAGAACGGAAAAATCTCTATTGTTAATTGTGTTCTCTTAAGTTTACATAGTTATCATTATCAGTGTCAACCTAAACACTAAGTCTAGTGTTCCTTCTGAGAGTACTGGGAGAAGTTCAGGGTTTGGAATAAAATAGACCTGGGTCTAACCCAGGTTTGATCATGTACCACCTTTGCTGCCTGAGGAAAACGCATTAAACTCTCCATCGAAGGAAGATAATATTTACCTCATGGTGGTGGTGTGAGATTAAATTAAACAGAAAACATAGGAAGAATTTAAAGCAGCATGCCTGCTTTGCTAACTCCTAAACCTGAATAAACTTTACCTTATGCCATCTCTGCTTTTGCTCTAAGGCCGTAAGACACTGCTAGAGAAAGCAACATAATAGTGCTGACTTAGCCAGTTACAAATTTATAGCCTAGTACTGTTTTCTCATTAGTAAACTCAACATAAATAATACTTATCTCCTAAGATTGTTTTAAGGATTCCATAAAATTGTGTATGTAGAATATTAGTTATAGTGCCTAGCATATGCTAGGAACTCAAACTGTAACCATTCTGTAGCTTAGCAATCTTTTTTTTTTTTTATTAATTAATGCCTTAGCACACTTACGGAAGGTGTTATTCTAGACTCTTCAACTTTCTTTAAGCCCTAAATACACCAAATCCTTCTGGTAAGCGATTCCCCTGCCTACTTTATTGGAAAGATGAGCAGTGGATGTGAGCTCCCACAGCTCTTCTTTCCACTTTTAAACACTCCTTTACCAATTCATAATTTTTCATATATCCATCAGGTGTGAGATAAACTAAACTCCTAATGCAATTCTTTCAGTCATTCAACAAATTTTACTGAGCATATACAATCTGTCAGTACCATCTCAAGTGCTGGGTATATCACGGTAAGAAAGAAACAAATTCTACACTCAGGGAACATCACATAGGAAACAGAGGTTCATATTATAATAATCACATAATAAATAAATGTTTTAAATTCTCTTTCCATCTCCTCAGGCCTTGTTTCCTCAAGTATTCTCAGCACATCCTCCATTTCCATGAGTTTTACTGCTCCTGCCCACCCCAACTTGAAAACCTTGCTTGGCACAGTCACCCTCTATACCTAGTATGCTCTATTTCTTTCCTGCCTGACTTCTTAAACTTTAGAAACACACACTCTATTCCCATCGCCTCCATTTTCTTGTATGCTAAGACCAGGAAATCTGGTTCCTGCTCTAACTTTTGGCACTCCTGCTCTAACTTTGGCACTCCTCAGAGAGTCCCCACAAGTAAGGAGGCTCTCAACAGATGCAGCCCCATGACCTGGGACTTCTCAGTCATAACTAGAAGAAATAAATTTCTCTTCTTTATAAATTACCCACTTTCAGATATTCTGTGATAAGCACTAGAAAATGGACTATGACAGGGTAGTAGTTAAAACAGTGGTTCTGAATCTTTAGTGTGCATCAATTTCATCTGGATGATTTGTTAAACCACAAATTGTGGGCCCTGACCCCAGAACTTGATTCTGAGACTCCACGTTTCTAACAAATTCCCAAATGATGCTGATGCTGAGATCTAGTGGTCCCTGAAATAAAAAATCCTAACAATAAATGTTTCATATACTCACATCCCATCAGCCAAATATTTAATCCTTCAGTAGTCAATTTTTAACAACACAAGTTTGTTCTAAGTCTTGACGAAAGCTAGATTCTGGAAGAAAAGATACGCTTTTTAAACAGTGCTAAATGTTCCTTGACCCAATTATAACAACATATAATAGACCTTAAGCATGCTGTCATCAAGGACAGAAACCACAGCTACAGAAAATGTGCATTATCAATGTTGTACTTAATATCCAATAAAACCAGCTTAAAGCAATTCAGAATAACAACACTATGAGCAATCTGACAGGACACATGCTTTGAATTTATTAGAAGAATTATCCAGTTCAATGTAATACTTAACAAAGCTAGTCGCCGAAGAGATTTAATATCCAAGTGCCAAGTAAAAGAATATTTTCATGGTATTCATACTTTAAATAGAGTTTTGTGCATGCTCTCACGTATAAGTGGGAGCTAAACATTGAGCACCCACAGACATAGAGATAGGACCAATAGACACGGAGCACTACTAGAGGCAGAAGGGAGGATGGACTGAAAAACTACCTATTGGGTACTATGCTCACTACCTGGGAGATGACGTCACAGCACAAAATATATTCAGCTAACAAACCTGCACATGTACCCCCTATATCTAAAATAAAAGTTGAAATTTTAAAAATAAAAAATAAATAAATAAAGGTTTGATTTTATATCTCTTGCACCCAGGGTGATGCTTTTTTCAGGTAGACAGGCTTGTAAATTATAATTACAACTAAGAAAAACATGAAAAACTTTACTCTGACTAATGAAATTTTATTTGTATAAAGCATAGGTGCATTTATTTCAGAAATACGGGAAATTATTTCAGGAATAAGACGTTCAAAACTTTAAATACTTCTTGTGAATCATTCACAAATCCAAAAAATCTGATTCAGCAACCTAAGTGCAATTTTCAAATTTCTCCATCCTTCACTGACAAGGGTTAACTCAAAGAGCTTTATTTTAACATTTTAAATATATCAATATTAATATTCAACAATTTAAGGATAAAAACCCTACATTATGAAACCAATGTTTTTTGGAGTAAGGTATACTGTGAAAAGCAATTGGTTTGCTATAAGATCATACAACAATGGAATGTTCTCTTGGAAATGGTTGATGTTTTAATACTAAAATCTCTATCCTCAAGTATAATAAGCATCTAAATAAAACAGTATTCAAATATACTGAGAAGGTAAATTTAAAAAGTCTGGAAATGGAGAATTTTAAATCACAACAGTCAAAACCACAACAATCCCAAAAACAGGTAATAAAAAGCCTAAGTGAACGAGTAATAAATGGAAGAATTATTACTGTAAAATTATTTTATTAAAATAATTATAAAAATAAAGAAAATAATGGAAGAGTTAACAATGTTTTGCCTACTTTCCCCTCATTCCTTGTTCACTGTGTATTCTTGCTGTCAGTTCTTTCTCAACTAATCCATGTCATTCACTTTCTCCAAATCTTAATTCAAGATTGGTCTCTAACACGATCCACTCTAATAACTATCTTACTCCACATCACCTTAATAATAACTTTCCTTTTTACCATCGTGTTTTGGAACTGTTTTCCAATTCCTTCGTTCTCAATTAAACTATAACCAAGTAGATTAAAATTTTTAAATTTACTTTAAAGCAAAATAGTTTCTTAAAAATCAATGTTGGCCTATATAATCAGAAATCCAAAGTTAGGTGAAATTAATTTGAACCAAGTGGAAACTTTACTCATACTATTTTCTGCTTTTCAGTAAACCTGCATAGCATCCAACATTCATTATATTATTTTAGTAAATATTCAAAGTTGTGAAACTACACATATTTGACTAAATTCCAGTTACCAATTGACCCTATCCTGGCTGACAGGATCCTGGTTGGCACCTACCTACCCAACAAGACCAGTTCCTACTGGCCTACTAATTCAATCTATCTTTAGTAATTAGGCTAAAAAATCTATGTCTCCAGACTCCCCTCTTGCCACAATTACACTGGTACAGTTCAGGTTCCTACCACCTACAGGATGGACTACACTTTAAGGTCCTTTAAAGTGTTGTCCCTTTAACATGAAATTCCCTTCTTTCTCTGTCTGTACATTTGTATTTATCTGGTTTTTCCAAATAAATTTCTTGGAAGACTCTCATAAATAAGGTCTTGGAGGGGCCAGGCATGGTGGCTCACGTATGTAATCCCAGCATTTTAAGAGGCTGAGGTGGGCAGATCACCTGAGGTCGGGAGTTCGAGACCAGCCTGATCAACATGAAGAAACCCCACCTCTACTAAAAATACAAAAAAATTAGCCAGGCCTGGTGGCACATGCCTGTAATCCCAGCTACTTGGGAGGCTGAGGCAGGAGAATAGCTTGAACCCATGAGGTGAAGGTTGTGGTGAGCTGAGATCACGCCACTGCACTCCAGCCTGCGCAACAAGAGCGAAACTCCATCTCAAAAATAATTATAATAAATAAAATAAGGTCTTGGAAAGTCTTCATAAATAAGGGCTGTTTCTTTTATTTCAGTATCTTCAGAATGGTACATGTTCATGATAAACACACAATAAAAATCGGCTGAATGATCTATGCCAAGTAGATGGAATATGTACATATGTATGTATCTAAGTATATACATATACACACAAATATATTTCTCTGTACTTTTTATAAGAATCGTAATATGATACTATGTTAAATATTTGTATATTTGTATATTCTACCAATCCATATTTTTATTTAGAAAAATACATGGACGACAACAAATTTGATTCTGGGAATCTATATTTCTAACAAATTCCCAAATGATGCTGATGCTGAGATCTACTGCTCTTAGAAATAAAAAAGCAACTAAAATGACTTAAATTCTATAACTTGTTAGAAACAGCTCTATCTAAAAAGAACCAAAACAGATAAAGATTATTTTTTCTCATATCAAAAGCCAAACTTTAAAGATTTGGTAGAATTTACCATGTATTCAGCAAAATATAAATAAATAATATCTATGAACATGTATGAGAATTTATTTCTATGTAAATAATATGGAAATTTCCATGTATTAGTTTATTCAATAAACATTTATTGAGTGCCTGCTATGAGTCAGGCACTGTTCTAGGTGCCTGAACATGCAGCAGTCAACAAGAAAGACAAGATACCTGCTTTTATATAGTTTACATTCTAATTGTAGGATACAGATAATAAATGAATAAATAAGCAATAAATATAAGGTAGCCATAAGCACCCAAAATTAAAAGAACATAAGCTGGTAGCAAATAACCAATATCATTTATTGGAATATATATGCTAGCCGGAAAATAGTTTCAAAAGGCAAGAAAAATAATCCAAACTAGTAACTCTGAATAACTGTTTTATAGACAGATGGCTAATTTTTACGTATATAGGACTGACTTAATACATCTGACAGAGCAGGAGCATTGCCGTCTTGGACAAGCACCGTCATTTTAAAATTTACATTGATCAAAAACTGCCTAAATCCAAAGGGCATCAGCTTAATGGCTAAAGTCAGCATGACCATAAACCACAAATAACATCTGTGACCAGAAACACACCAAACCCCTCCCTGACCAGAGACATGCCAGCCCCGACATAACCTCCCCTCCAGCTGGAGAGATGTCAGCCCCAACATAATCTCCTCTCCGACCAGAGACATTCCAACCCTGCCATAAACTTCTCCCCCACACAGAAACATTCCAAGCTCTCTCACCAATAAATACTCTCAGTCTGTAAGAGACAGCATTACTGACCAAACTCGGCCAGAAGCCCCACTCAGGTTTATTCTCCAAAATAAACCTGTCTTTGACTGTTGAGCTGCTTTTTCATGTTTCTTTCCTCCTTCTTTAAGTCTTACAACATCAAATTCCTAATAAAAAAATAACAGTGAGCATCAGAACCTTAAGCTGCTTCCACAATCCATTATTACTACTCAAAAATGTTTATAACAGAAATTATGTGCATTATAACACAAAAACTGCTTAACCTTAATAAAAGGTATCTGAGACACAATACTTTAATATTTATACTTTGGATGACAGTTACAAACACTAATACAGGTGTAAATTATTTTAGAATACAGACAACACATTCCCCTCCAACATTAAGTATAACATTAGTTTTAAAAGCAAAGTGTTAAAAAAAAATGCCTGCAACAAGCACAAGTAAGTAAAGATGGGAGGAAGAGACAGATACCAATCAGGCAGTCAATTCAAGAACAGAGCTGCGTTCGAAGTTAGGGTAAAGAAATATTTGGTTCCAGGCAGTATATCTAGGAAAGGTAGTTGTAGCTGCAGAGTTAGAGCTCAAAATTGCTGGAGATATTATACCAGTCTCTGCTGACTCAAAAGTACTGGCTAAGTACCCAAAATATTTGCTCAGACTCACATAGCAATGTATCCCAAATAAGTCACAATGAGGACACAAATATTAAGAGAAAGAAATCAGACATTATGATCATTTGGGAAACAATAGTACAGAAAAATTCCAGTTGAAATTGACTGTTACCACATCACTTTTCTTACACTGTTAGGACATAAGCTGTCCAAACAGAAGCTGTTATTTCAAATCATTCGAGCTGGGTTCAACACCCAAGTCCTTTAATTAACACTATAATAAATGTTTAACATCTTCTATAATCATCCTAAAAAATATCCTATAAGCAGTATTTTAAGCCAACAATTTTTATACCTCTTAAGAATATTTTTAATTGTATGTATCACTTAACAAATAGATACAATGGTTCAATTAGAGAATATTGTAATTTAGTATGCCTTAGTTTATTACATGTCATTGAAAAAACATGTAAACGATATAGTTGAGAAAAACATGAACATTTACAATACGGACTATGTAACAACAGAACACTAAATAGTCATAGAAAGTCAGAAATGTGTCTTATAATCCTTTAGTTAAAATAACATTTGCTGTAATTAATAAGCTAACAAAAATATAGACTATATGTTATCTAGAAAACTAAAAAAATTATTTATTTTCTTTTATAAGAATTTTTGAAAAAAGTTTGCATTGCAAAATAAAAATTCCATAATAAAAAAATTTAAACATACAAGTTAAAAGACTACTGATGATATTGCTACACAGGCTATTCCAGATGTACATAAAAGAAGGCAGGTCAATGAACAAGTGTCCAAGCCAAAGACTTAGTACTCAGGGTAAGAATCCATATAGGCTGGTGCAGCTGGTTTTCCCTCTCTACTTTGCTTTTTCTTCTCTCAGTTTACAGCACAAACCAAGCTAAAATGCTAGCTCAACTTCTCTCTTTTCACTTCAAAACAACCCAGCTCGCCAGCTGGGCATGGTGGCAGTAGCTCAGACTTGTAATCCCAGCACTTTGGCAGGCCAAGGCGGGTGGATCACCTGAGGTCAGGAGTTCAAGACTAGCCTGAGCAACATGGCAAAACCCCATCTCTACTAGAAATACAAAATTAGCTGAGCATGGTGGTGCATGCCTGTAATCCCAGCTACTTGGGAGGCTGAGGCAGGAGAATTGCTTGAACCCTGGGAGGCAGAGGTTGCAGTGAGCTGAGACTGTGCCACTGCACTCCAGCCTGGGTGACAGAGCGAGACTCTGTCTCAAAAAAAAACAACAACAACAACAACAACCCAGTTCTTGACTGGGCCATGAGATGCCCAGACATTTGGTCAAACATTACAGTGGGTGTGTCTGAGGGGGTGTTTCTGGATATGATTAACATTTGAATTGGTAGTTAAAGTAAAGCAGATTGCCCTACCTAATGTGAATAATTCTCAACCAATCAGTTGAAAGCCTAAACAGAACAAAAAGCCTGACCTCCTGTGAGTAAGAGGGAATTTCCTTCTGTCTGACTTCCTTAAACTGGGACCTCATTTTTTAAACTGAAACATTGACTCTTCCTGGGTCTCGAAGCTGTTGGCATTTGAGCTGGAACTAAAGCTGACCCTTGAACAACACAGAGATTATAGGCAACAACCTCCACCCCTCACCCCATACAGTTAAAAATCCATGTATAACTTTTTATTCCCCAAACACTTAACAACTAAAACCCTACTGTTGACCATAAGCCTTACCGATAACATAAACAGCTGATTAACACATATTTTGAATATTACATATATTCACTGTATTATATATATTCACTGTAACCTCACAATAAAGTAAATTGGAGAAAAAAAACATTAAGAAAGTCATAATAGTCCAGGCACAGTGGCTCGCACCTGTAATCCCAGCACTTTGGGAGGCTGAGGCAGGCAGATCACCTGAGGTCAGGAGTTCAAGACCAGCCTAGCCAAAATGGTGAAACCCCGTCTCAACTAAAAATACAAAAAGAGAAAGAAAGTCATAAGAAAATACATTTACAGTACTGTACTACATTGATCAATACCATAAGTTTACATTATCTATTTACAAGATGAACCATCTGTCTGAAATAGCAGTCAACCTTAGCTGGAGACCTCAATCTATATTACATATCAAGCAATTCAACTTTTTCTTGTAATATCATTACTTTTCTCTGATTTGGGGAAGCATTTCCAGCATTACTAGTGACACTTCCTATGAGCCCCACGGTGTTATTCAAGGTTTATGATATTGCACTGAACACGATGAAAAATACCCGAGAACTGTGAGAGATCACTTTACTGTAATATACAATTTACTGTGCAAACTGCTTACGCTGAGATGATTAGCATCACAGAGCGTTTTAAGCAGATACTTGCAACACTTATAGGCTCACCACAATAGCAACAGGGTGGGGCTATTAAATTACTATAGTAGCACAGAATGTGCTACAGTTAATTTTATGTAGGTTACTGCATAAAAGATAATACTGCATCTTTACATTTGTTTACATTTCTCTCTACTGGGAATAGCACCATGTATGGTCTGTACATTTGTGTGCATGTGTTTTGATAAATTTTAACTTTTTGCAATAAATTTCTGTATATCTCATGTTAGTAAATAAGACTAGTATATATTTTATACATTCATATATACTTAATTTTTTCTTACTTTTTTTGATATTTCTAGGCTATGTGGTTCATCTGCAAGTTTTTTCGAATTGTTGCATATCCCCAGAAAATTTTCCAATATACTTATTGAAAAAAATCCACATATAAGTGGACCCATGCAGTTCACACCTGTGTATTTCAAGGATCACCTTGTACACTATCATTCTTCTGGTTTTCAGGCTTTTGGATTCAGGCTAGAACTACAACATTGGCTCTCCTGGGTCTTCAACTTGCCAACTGCGGATCTTGAGACTTGTCAACTTCCATAACCCCCATCTCTCTCTCTATCTCTCACTCTGTGTGTGTGTGTGAGAGAGTGTGTGTATGTCTGTGTGCATGTGTAAGTGATAGAAAGACAGACACACACACAGTTCCATTTCTGTGGAGAACCCTAATATATCTACCTACTTAAGACATCAAATTCCTAATAAAAAGATCAAAAACTGTTTTAAATTAATAATGCATAATGATGTCAATGGCAGAGCAAAATTCTCACATCGCTTGAAGAGGGTCTAATTTAAAACCTTTCTGAACAGTCATTTCACAGCATGCATTAAAACTTTAAAATTGTGTGTAGTTTCCTTTTTTTTTTTTCTTGAGATGGAGTCTTGCTCTGTCACTCAGGCTGGAGTGCAGTGGTGCGATCTCAGCTCACTGCAACCTCCACCTCCCAGGTTCAAGTGATTCTCCTGACTCAGCCACCCCAGTAGCTGGGATTACAGGCACCTTCCACCATGCCCAGTTAATTTTTGTAGTTTTAGTAGAGACGGTATTTCACCGTGTTGGCTAGGCTGGTCTTGAACTCCTGACCTCAGGCGACCCACCTGCCTCAGTCTCCCAAAGTGCTAGGATTATAGGCGTGAGCCAACCTGCCCAGCTGTGTGTAGTTTCTTATAATTTTATTTCCTGGTGAATGCATATATATATATATACACACACACACACACACACACACACAAAGAATATAATCAAAACTATAATCAATTATCTATGTCCACAGGATATTAGCTATTTGACTCTGTTATTTATATTAGTAACATATATAACAGAGTCAAATTAGACACAACCAAATGTCCAACAATAGGAGAATGATTAAACAAATTACATCACTTTCAAAGGATATATTATGTAACTCATTAAGATATTTTCAAAGATTGGTCAAAAATATGGAAAAATAATCATAATATAATGACAATTTTTAGAATGGTGAAAATCAGTGGTGTTTAGTTCTGTAGACTAGAGTAAAAGGCTACAATGTTGACAGTGATTATTTCAAATTGGAGGATAACAGGTGAATTTTTCTGTATTTTTTATATTTTCTATAATTAGAATAAATTACCTTTAAAAAAATATAAAAAACATTATCCAAAACTGCTCAAAGAAAATCCTATTAAATGACTTCATTAAGATTCTATGGATAATTGTCGATGAAGACAGTTTTTAAAACAAATCTGAAAAAACTGTAACAGCTTTTTATAATGTTATTTTTAAAAATCTAAGCTTTTTAATAAAGTATATAGCTACAGACATGAGCTGAATTGTGATCTCCTAAAAGTCATTTGTTGAACCCCCTAACTCCAAATCCAACTGTAACTGGAGATAGGGCCTCTAAAGGGATAATTAAGGTTAAATGAGATCAGATGAGTGTGGGGCCCTAATCCGGTAAGACTAGTGTATTTATAAGAAAAGGAAGAAACACCAGGCATGCACATGCACAGAGAAAAGGCCATGTGAGCACAAAGCAAGAAGAAGGCCACCTGTAAGCCAAGGAGACAGGCCTCAGGAGAAACCAAATCTGCCAATACTTGGATCTTGGACTTCCAGCCTCCAGAAGTGTGAGGAAATACACTTCTGTTTTTTAAGCCAACCAGTCTGTGGTATTTTATTTTGGCAATGCTTGCAAACTAACATAAAACATAATAAAGTACTATAAAATGTACCTGGTAAATATTCTTTCTTCTATAATTTACTTTTAGGAGGCAGCAAATCAAGAAATAAACAGTAAAAAATGGTCTTCATACCACAGTGTCATGGCATAGAAGGGGCAAGAAATCATATTTCCAAGTAAAATGTTATTAGCTGGCACTATTAAAGAGAAATAAGGCATAGGATTGGGAATATAAGCACTGCAGATAGGGTTTTTAAAAAGTTGTTCAGGTTTATAGTAATTATTGTCCATCTAAAAATGTTCTATAGGCTAGGTATGATGACTCAGGCTCACAGCTGTAATCACAACCCTTCAGCACGCCAAGGCAGGAGAACGGCTTGAGCCCAAGAGTTTGAGACCATCCTGGGCAACATAGTGAGACTCTATCTCTACAAAAAATTAAAAAAAGAAAAAAATTAGCCAGGCATAATGGTGTCCACCTGTGGCCCTAGCTACTGGGAAGGATGAAGTGGGAGGATCACTTGAGCCCAAAGGTCGAGGCTGCAGTGAGCCATGATTGCACCATTGCACTCCAGCCCAGCCTGGGCAACAGAAGAACACCCTGTCTCGAAAAAAAAAACAAAAGTTTATAAAAGATTCTGCATAACATAATAGAAAATATTTTAAATTGTTTCATTTTATTTGTTCATGATATCTCCCAGTGCTCAAAACATTATGTGCATATGTATAGACACACATACATTCCTACAGATATATAACTCTGAAAGCAATTTCAGTCTTATAATTACTACTGGCAGTATACCTACAAAGGAAAACATTCCTTTCCCAATCTTTTATATTAGATTAATATGCAAGTTTCTTTTTATCTAAACTGAATTGTCAACACATTTATCCTTTTAGAATTTTCAACTACACTGCAGGGAGCATATTTTAAAAAAAAATAGACCGTTTCATTTTCAGAGCAAATTAAAATATCAGGTACCACTCTGATATTTTTTTTCAAAATTACCTTGTCTGGATCCATCTTTCCTTTGATAAATTCTTGCTTCCAGAACTACAATGCCTGTTCCAAAGTTAAACCAATGCCCTTCAGAAATAGGTCATACTGCATTCGGCCTCAATGACGAAGATGGTGATTTTTCCCGCAAGGCTTTATGTAACTGACGCATGCAAGGTGGGAAGGATTTGGTAGAAAGCTACAAGAAAAAACAGTAGAGTTTTAAGTTAAGTGGAAGACTTATCAGGTCCCCTGTAATATTTGTTATGGTTGCTAATTCAATGTAATTGGAATAAAAAAACAAACACCATAAGAAAGTGCCACTTTATTACTGTGGTTACAGATGACTCTTATCTGTATAAGATGTTTCTTATTAACATTTTTTATTGGTTACAAGTTAATATAATATTTTAGATACTTTGGATTAAATAACATACTATTAAAATTTATTTTACCTGTTTTTTTAATTTAATTAAACTTTTTCTTTGAAGTTAACTATAGACTCCCATACAGTTACAAGAAATAATACAAAGAGATAGCATATATCCAAATTCCCCCAAAGATAAAATCATGTACAACTACAGTAGATTATCACAAACGGGATACTGACATTGATACAATCCACTAGTCTTATTCAGGTTTCCTCAGTTGTACTCATGCACTTACTTCCGTATTAAATTTTATACAGTTTTGTCACATGTAGGTTCATACATCCACCACCACAGTCAAGATGCAGAACAGTTCTGTCACCACAAGGATCTCTCATGATTTTATAACCACCCCCATCTATCTTTTGCACCCTGCTCCCCTCCCTCAGCTCCCTAATCTTTGGCAGCCACTGATCTGGTTCTCCATCTCTATAATTTTGTCATTTCAAGAGTATAATAGAATCATATAATATGTATTGTTTTGAGATTGTTGTTTTTTACTCAGCAGAATTCCCTCAAGATTCACCTAAGTTGTATATAAGCTCATTTCTTTATTACTAACTAGTTTTCCATGGTATGAATGTATCATAATTTATTTATTCACTCATTGAAGAACACTTGGGTTGTTTCCAGTTTGGGCTATTTCAAATGAAGCTATTATGAGCATTCTTTAAGAGGTTTTTATGTGAACATAAGATTTCATTTCCCTGAGATAAAAGTACAATTACTGAATAGCAGATGAACTTTTAAGATAACTTAAATACAAAGCAGAAGACAAAAATAAGAGAAACTTCTCATAAGGAAAATTCAAATAAGTATGTTAAAGAAACCAAGTTAAAAGGAACAAAGTGTAGTTAGTGCCTTAGTGCCAAAAATGAAATATCATTGCCTACTTTAATTTTTCACTTACAGTTTCAATTGCATTCTCTATGACTTCCTTAAATAACCTCCCAAGACTTAAATTCTTACTCCCTCACATATGCCTTAGCAAGTTCACTTCATCTATAAGAAAGAGCAGGTCTCACTTTGCTTGACTTTGTTGCTCCCTCTAGTGACCATCTAGTTTCTCTTCATTCTTTTACAGTAACAACTTCTGAATGTTTCCATCCCCAGTCTAGTTCATTCAGACCTATATCCTCCCTTGGTAGAACTAACTAGAAAGCCTTTCAGCTCATTTTCATGAGACCATTTTTGTTCCTTCATATTAATATCTGATTTTTTTCTAAACATTGTTCTAATCCATACAATCAATATTCAACATCCTTAGTATGAACATGCAAGGTTTCCTCAATATCTGGTAACTACTTTTCTTTTTTTTTCTTCTTTTTTTATTTTTTTTGAGATGGAATCTCAGTCTGTTGCCCAGGCTGGAGTGCAGCAGTGCCATCTCAGCTCACTATAACCTCTGCCTCCCAGGTTCATGCGATTCTCCTGCTTCAGCCTCCTGAGTAGCAGGGATTACAGGTGCCTGCCAACATGCCTAGCTGATTTTGGTATTTGTAGTAGAGACAGGGTTTCACCATGTTGGCCAGGCTGGTCTCGAACTCCTGACCTCAGGTGATCCTCCCACCTTGGCTAGATGGCATGACCCACTGTGCCTGGCCAATAACTACTTTTCAATTATACATAACAGAACAATTATTTATTAAGTGTTCTGGAAAATAAGCTGGGACCTAATTGTCCCCTTTAATTCAGTTAAGGAAAAAGACACAACAATTATTATATTCACTACTATGTAAGTTAAACACATGAAATAAATGATAAAAGGAGGGCTCCAACAAGGGCAAAACTTGAGCACCACAGAAGCACTGTGACAGGGAGCCTGGGAAAGCCCAGTATATTATCACTACACCAAAATGAGTCCTCGGCTCCAGTCCACTGGATTATTCACTATCCCATGACCACACAGTCATGCTCTGTAGCTTCTCAATTTTCTCACTCTGCTAGCCCTGCCTGGCGCACCCTTCTCATGCACATGCCATGTAGCCAAAGCCAAGTCATCATTCAAGACCCAACTCAATTTCTATTTCTTTTGGCACATTCCTTGATTACTTCTTATTCATTCAATCAACAAATATTTATTTAACACTTACTATGTGTACAGCCCTGGGGAACCAGTAGTGAACAAAGAAGTCAAAAACCCTGTCCTCGAAGAGCTTATTTTTAATAGGAGGAGACGGACAATGAATACAGACATTAAAAAGATAACATCTGATGCCAAAACACTGGAAGTGAAATAGAGAAATGAAATCAAGTGTGATTAGGGGAGAAGTACTTCAATTTGGGTGGCCAGGGAAGCCTTTTTGAGGAGATGGCATTTCAAGTAAGACAAAGTAAGTTGGATGCTAGTGAAATGAAGATCCTGAGAAGGAATAAACGTGGTGTGCTAAAAGAGAACATAAGATCCATGTGACCAGAGCAAGTGAGTGAGCCGGAATGGAGCAGAAGATAAAATAGAAATGATGAGCACATATGGCTTCAGAGGCCTCAACATGAGTTTGGATTTAAGTCTACATATGATGAAAACCCACTAGAGGGTTCTGACCAGAAGACTGATGTGATTCAATAAACAAAGAGAACTCTGGCTGTTATGTAGTGAAAAGACTGTATGAGAGTAAGAACGGAAGCAGGAGGGATACTTAAGAGGTGTGGGCAGTAGTCCAAATAATAAAAATTAAAAAGATAGTGTCTGGCTATATACAGATAGAAAAATGATCATGGAAAACAAGCAAACAAAAGAATCATAAGTCCAGGATAGGGGATAAATTATCAACTTGGATCTTGCAGAGGCCAAGAACAATAATAAGAATAGCGCCAGTACACAAGACCATTAGCTAGGTGTTCAAATCATCAACGAATACAGGTGTGGGGGGAGGGGGTGGAATAGCAACAAAGGAGGTATCAGATGATATAATAAGATCACAAGGGCTTTAAAGGAGCTGGAACTGTAACAATGGAAGGCAGAGAAATGTGGACCAAGAAAGACACTCACCGCATACCTATATACGAACTCGGGGGGGAAAGTTGTCTCTACTTGAAGAGGCCCACAGGGGAAACAGCATTGAGAAAGCCAGATTTGTTAGAAGAAAAAACTAAAGAAAACATTTGGAGAAGAGTTGCAAATACCAAGGGATATGCAAATGACATGCTGTTGTGAAGATCAAACAATATAGATACAGAGTTAGGAGGCAGTCCAAAAAAAGATACATCTGTATTACTCACCACGGGGTCTCAGGAACAGACCCATAACAGGATCATCATCATAGCACTTAACATTATATTGCTCATTATTTATTATGTTGTCCCTCTCCCTCATGTAAGGTCCATGAAGGCAGGGACATTTTCTGTTTTCCTCACTTCTGTATCCACAGCACAATGGCTGCTACATAACTGATGGGCTCAATACATATCCATTAAATGAATTAATATTTCTATGAACTCCAACAGTATCCAACCAAATTCACATTTGCTTGTGAATGGGGAAACATCTAGCTAGAACTAAGAACAGAATTAACCTCCAACCATTCACATTATATAAGCACAAATCACATGAGTGGAAGTGAGAAAGGGGACTGTTAGAGATAAGTGTTTAATAAAAAAATTAAAAGATGGGACATCTTTGAGAACAAATTTCAAATCAACAAATCAACTGTGTAAAGTAGGCAACCCTATTGTTATTTCTAGACATATTAACTGCAAGTACTTTTTTGTAATTTTTCAAATGGAAGATGACCTATTCATTCTGATCCAACCTCACGGTCTTTCTCTATTAGTCTTATTACAGTTCTTGTTTCCAAGCATTAAAATCCCTGTGTATTTTTAATTTATTGTGAATAATTTGGTAGTCGTCCAACCCAAGATTATTTATGGCTGGCTTATTTTCCCTTTGTATATGGAGTGCAAATGCTGTTATGTATTAAAGAGAAATTCTACAAGTATGGCAAAGTACACTACCCTATGGAACCACAAAGTCAAATGATGCTAAAATAAGCTACCTATTAATCTCATAGCCTACACTAGTTGATGAATTGTCCTCTCCCCCTGAAATTCATATATCAAGTCCTGACCTCTAGTAGCTCCAAATGTGACTATATTTAGAGATGGGGCCTTTAAAGAACTCATTAAGATTAAAGGAGGCCATGGGGGTGGGGCTCTGGTCTCACATACTCAGTGTCCTTACAAAAAGAAGAGACACCAGGGATGTATGCAAGCAGTGGGAAAACCACAGGAGAACACAAGGAGAAGGCAGCCATCTGTGAGACAAGAAAGGCCCTGGAAGAAATCAAACCTACTATCTCTTTGATCTTGGATTTCGAGCCTCTAGACTGTGAGAAAATAAATTTCTGTTGTCATGACAGCCCCAACAAACTAATACACTTAGTGTTTTCCATTTCCCCTTTATTAAATGTATGCAGTATTTAAATGTAAACACAAACTCCATTTAGCTATTTAAAAGAATTCCTGTTTGGAATAGTTGATTAAATTCGGTTTTCATAAAAGTACAGATAATTTTCTGATTAAATGATTTTCCTATGATTTTTTTAAAATCATATAAGTAGGACATGGGATTTTCTTTAAAATTAATCAGCAAGCAGTGAAATAGTATTCTATCTCCTCACCCAAAAGTCTTTGATTTAAGAAAATCTATGTTCTCTCCACTGATAAAGTTCTAAGTTTAAAAGAATGTTCTACTTACCAAATCAATCTGATCTAAAGAAATTTTCCCAACATTTCCCTGGGTACTGTAATCTTGGCCAGTGTAGGAATGACTTTAAAAAAAGAAAAAAATATATTAAAACAGATTCACAAAATACTTTTGATCCCTTTGAAGGAAATTTTTAAAATTATGAATATGATTAAAATAAGAAAGCATTTTACATGTAAACCTTAGCAGAAACATAGCCAAGTGTTTTAAACGTATTTAATGAAATTAATTTAAGTAACTTACCCCAAAATAATTGAAAAATATAGTAACAGTCTGAACCTCCTGACTCCTAGTCTAGAGCACCACTTCCATTTTTTTAGAAGCATAATCCAAGTTGTTAAAGTTCAAACCTCTACCATTTATCCTTTATTAACAGCACGACAACATAGCAAAAAAGCAGCTGGAACTTAAATTGGGAATCATCACTTAAAAGTAGTAGGTGAGCAAGTTACTTAGTTACTCTCTGTATGCCAGGTGCCTTATTGACTAATGGCGATAATAATGCCTGCTTTGCAGTGTTGATAGGAGGTCTGAATTGTAAGAATTTTTGTTAAAGAGCCTGACATAAAGCAATCACTGTTTATTAAAATAAATAATATCTGAATAGCATTTTACAGTGTACAAAGAGTCCTCAATAGCCTCTAATTAGATCCTTGCAACACCCTGAAAGAGCGTTTCTGTATATCATTTGATGAATGGAGGCTTGGAGGAGTTAGAAACTTGTTAGGATCAGAAAGCAAGTCAGCAGTACAGTGGGAACTCAAACCTTTTGATTCCTAATTCCCCATTTTTTCACTGCACCATATCATCCTTTTCCCTATAATAAATTTTCCTGCATGATTATCTTCAAATTAAGAAACATAACTTGGTATATACTACCTTAAGCCACCCACCTCAGTAATGTTTCACCTCCTTCACACAACACACTACTCATGTCCAACTCCATGAACACAGACTCAGGTGCATGCAGGTGTGACATAGCAAAAAACAGCTGCTAGATTACATAGAAATTCACAATCAAACCAAAGATTATACAAATACCACAACTAAAGGGAAACCCTGGAGTGAAGAGTCATTATGATCATAAAGAATTCCACCGGGGCAACAGAGTAAGACTCTGTCTCTACAAATAATAAAAATTAAAAAAAAACAAAAACAAAAACAAAAACCTGGGCATGGTGGCATGCCTGTAGTCCTAGCTACTCTGGAGGCTGAGGTAAGAGGATTGCTTGAGCCAGGGAGATCAAGGCTGTAGTGAGCCATGATCATGCCTGAGCATTCGAGCCTAGGCTATAGAGCGAGACTCTGTCTCAAAAAAACAAACAAACAAACAAACAAAAAATCCAGATACTACTTTCTATCTGCTCAGTTACAGATTCTTCCTGCTGAACCACATATACGCTCAAGATGCTCTGTAGACAGGCTGTTGTTTCCATAATCAATCAATTTTACTGATTAAACAATGGGTATGGATTATGAAGCAAAACCACAATATAGCTGGCTCACACCTGTCATCCCAGCACTTTTGGAGGCTGAGGCAGGCAGATGGCTTGAGCCCAGAAGTTCAAGACTAGCCTAAGCAACAACATGACAAAACCTTGTCTCTACAAAAAATACAAAAATTGGCCAGGCGTGGTAGTGTGTGCCTGTAGTCCCAGCTACTCAGGAGGCTGAAGCAGTAGGATGGCTTGAGCCCAGGAGGTGTAGGATGCAGTGAGCTGAGATCATGCTCCACCCTGGGTGACAGAGTAAGACCTTGTATCAAAAAAAAGAAAAAAAAAAGGTACAGATTTCCCCTCCCTACAAGTCCTCCTTCTACAGGCTAAGAAGGACCTGAGAATTACTCTGAGAGCAGAATGGGTAGACTAATACTGAGGGAAACCAGAAGATGCCACCCCCAAAATATGAAGGATTACTGAGCGAAGGCAATTTAAGAAGAAGCAGATTCAGGAAAGCTCTCTGCCCTCCCTCTATCTGCCTAAAAGCAAAACACAGATTTACAAAGACAAAAGTCATCCTGCCCACCTTTTACCAGTGAGAACAAAGGTTGATCAGTGAAGATAACTTCAGATTCTTATTATGTGGAGATGATACCAGAGGAAACTATATGAACAAGCTTTACCAACTGGTCTTTATCTGCCATTTATTTGCCTTCTCACAAGTTGCTGCCACCAGAGACTCAAAGTCCTTTTCCTTTGCCATGTCACTTCTCTAGAAATGTATTGCTCTTAGTTGAATTTGCTACGTAAACTTGAATTGAAAGCACCTTTTTTGAGAACTACTTACTTTCTGGATGTTTTCCATGCATATGTCTTCCATAGCACACACATGTGCTATGGTTTGAATATCTGTCCCTTCCAAAACTCATGTTTAAATTTAATCCCTAATGTGGCAGTATTGAGAGGTGGGATTAATGGATAGAGGATTAATAGATTAATGAGTTGCCATGGGAAGGAAACTTGTGGCTTTACAAAATGAGGAAGAGAGACTTGAGCTGGCATGTTAACAGACTCAGCCCCCTCGCCATGTGATACCCTACACCACCTCAAGACTCTTCAGAGAGTCCCTACCAGCAAGAAAGCTCTCACCAGGTGCACCCTCTGGACCTTGGACTTCCCATCCTCCATAACTGTAAGAAATAAATTTGTTTCCTTTATAAATTACCCAATTTCAGATATTCTGTTATAAGCACAGAAAACTGATACAAAATGTTAATAAACTTGTTTGTTTTTCTCCTATTAATCTGTCTTTTGTTACATGGGTCCTTTCCAACCTATAGGACTTGAAGAAAAAATTCTTCTTCTTCCCCTATGAGACCATATCCTAAAACACATCTCCTCTTGTATTATTTTCCCTTGCCTTGAATTATCTTTCCCTTGAGTAACACCTTTCTGACAATGTGTTATTGGATTCTATGCATTCCATTAATTGCAGTAGCACAATGGCATATAAAACTCATGCAAAGTTAAATTGATAGCTGCCATTTAACTTTAATGTTTTAGACTTTAGTACACAGCATAACCAGATAATTGTTTCAGTGAAATCTCAGGAATAAAAATGTTATTTCTTTTTCCAACATGTCTTACAGCATGGGGCATTGGGAATGGCAGTAGGCTAGGAGTATGAAGACACGTTCTTGGGTTTTTTATTTTATTTTTTTTTTTTTTGAGATGGAGTCTCGCTCTGTCTGTCGCCCAGGCTGGAGTGCAGTGGGGCGATCTCGGCTCACTGCAAGCTCCGCCTCCCGGGTTCACGCCATTCTCCTGCCTCAGCCTCCCGAGTAGCTGGGAATACAGGCGCCCATCACCACGCCCGGCTAATTTTTGTATTTTTGAGCAGTGACGGGGTTTCACCGTGTTAGCCAGGATGGTGTCGACCTCCTGACCTCGTAATCCACCCGCCTCGGCCTCCCAAAGTGCTGGGATTACAGGCGTGAGCCACTGCACCCGGCTGGTTTTTGTTCTTTAAATACCAGTTCTGCAAACTGGGACAAGTCACTTAACCATTCTGATTTGCATCATCCTTATTTGTAAAATGGCACTAATAATGCCAGCCCTGCCTAAATTAACAGAAATACTGGGAAATCAAATGAAATAATGTATCCAAAGTGCTAATTAAAATCAGTAAAGCACACTCCAGCACAAAGAGCAATTGCATTCTTGACCAGTAAGTACAGAAATGACAGGATTGTAAGAGAGACAACAGCATGATCCTGTAGAGGAGCCATCACCCAGCTGGGAAGTACTAGGCCATGCCATTGACCCTTATAAGTCTCAGCTTCTTAGTCTATCAGCTGAAGGTCGTGATTACAATGATGTAACAGGATTGTTCAGATCAAATAAACAAATATGAAAGGCCTCTATAAATGGTAAAATGATGTACAAACAGAATTATAGTTATTGAATAAATGAAGCCAAATGATTACTATGCCACAAGGAAGTTGTTCTCAGCCCAGATTAATGCATACTATACTAAGTACAAAGAGAAGACATATAAAGAGGACATATACATTTGCCTAAATGACAGTATAAAATGCTTGTTCTTCCACACCTCACTAGAATATACAAAAGGGCTAAATTTCAAGGAAAAAAAGAAAGCAAGAGAATGCTAGCAACGATGAATGCAAAGACTTTATTGGTATAAATGCCTACAGAGAGAATATAAGTAGACTTAAACTGTGTAGACATCAAACTTCTAAAAATATTTTTGGCCAGTCCTAGTGGCTCATGCCTCTATTCCCAGCACTTTGGGAAGCCAAAGCAGGAGGACCGCTTGAGCCCAGGAGTTAGAGAGCAGCCTGGGCAACATATAGCAAGACATCATCGCTACAAAAAAAAAAAAAAAAAATTAGCTGGGTGTAGTGGCACGCACCTGTAGTCTCAGCTACTCAGGAGGCTGAGGTGGGAGGATTGCTTGAGCCTAGGAGTTTGATGTTGCAGTGATTTATGATCACATCACTGCAGTCCAGCCTGGATGAGGGATTGAGACCCTGTCTCAAAAATAAAAAATAAAAACTCTATAAAAAAACATATACGTAACAGAAAGAAGGCCACCAGCCTAGTGTGGGCAAGTATGGAACCCATGGGGGTGGGGAAGAATATGATAGAAATGAAGATGTCAAGTATCAGAATTAGGAATGACATTTCTCCTCTACTCATCTATAATCAGAAAGGCTTACTTATGTCTGCATTAGAGGAAGTGATAATAAACATCACAGCTACTTAAACCTATTTGAACTAGTTAAGGATAGCTGGGGGGCAGGGGGATTGTTAGATACAACACAAGAAAGGCAGATGGTGAGAAGCCTGTATCCCATGCTCTGCAGGCAGTGAAAAATCATGAAAAATATGTGAGGCAAGAACTGACATAATCCAGTTTACACTTGAGAAACAAAGCAGTGTGGGGAAATAATTAGAAAGGGGAGGGACTGGCAACTAACTGGAAGAATACTGTAGGCAATGTTACATCCAGGCGAGGAAAGGTGAGAGCCTGAGTAAAGTAGTGGTAACGATGGAGAAAGGAAGGCAATAGATGGGTTCAGGAAATTTTCTGGAAAAGAATGGATATGCTTTGATGAAGGAGGTAGAAAAGTCAAGAATAACAGATCAGTTTCTAGCCTGAGTGACTGAGTGCTTCCAAGCCACGATTTCACTTTCCACAAGATAAAAACTATTTAGCCTAAACAATAAAACTGTAATTCAGGAATAAACTTACAAAGAAATTATGAAAATACAAGTTTTGATAATAAATTTTCTTCACTCATCTTTACAATGTTTCCAGGTGAACAGTTTTTTCCTCATAATAATGAATCATTGACAGAAGCTCAAAAATCAAGGTATAAGAAAAACAAATAATGCTGCCATAAAATAAAAAAACCCTTAAAAGCAATTCACATTTGCTCATGAAACTGGCTTTTACCTGGAAGTGCCAAAAGATGGTTCTAAAGGAGAATCCTAACAGGTAGCCAGGGAAAGAGACGCACCCTTCTCCATTCAGAGCTCAGCGCCAGCTTTCTATCATACTGCTGCCAAATAAATGAAGCTGCTATATTAATGAATTGTCAAAATATATTCTTATTTTCATGATTTGAAAATGATCGATTTTATGAGGGAACATGTCTTAGTAATTATATTGGGAAAACACAGAAAGTCATTTTTAAATGCAAAAAACATTTCTAATTGCTTCAACATCTATAAACACATGCAAACCCAGCAGAAAACAGTTTTCTGTCCATTTAAAATACTCACAGCTTTATTTTGAGAGACATTCACTGTCACCAACATAGTTTTTTAAATAAGGGATTCAGTAAGCATAAAAACTTTCCTACTCCTAATGTTTCATAAAAGAATAAAGTGAGATGTAACACAAATACCATTTTTTCAATATAGAAGACCAAAGAACATTTTAATGGGTCACAAAATTCAAATTATGTCATTAACGACTATTTTGCCAAATATAAAGGGCAATGTTTGATTAATCAGAGAATCTTGAAAAATCTGAATTTGATTTCCTTAATTCTCAGTTTAGCCACTAATTTTCCACAAGTTTAAAAGGAAAAAAGACAAGGCAAGCTATGCATCAATTTTTTTCATCCATAAATATGTGTGGTAATGGATAAGGAATTGCAGTGATTTACTTACACTCCCTATGCATAATTTATTTGCTAAAGTATCAGGTGAAAGGCATTAAGGGTGAAATATCAGTTTTCTCAGGTTATAGAAAAGTAGTGAAAACAATAAAGATGTGGTTCAGTGAATATTCAATTACATTAGAAATCTAACTGAAGACACTGGATTGTAAAAGGATATAGTGTATTTTTGCTAAAATGTAACAATTACTGCACTGTAACAGCAAAATAAACACCTTCACTACCGAAACAGAACCATATAAATGCATAAAACCCAGGACAAACTACTTTTCTAATATCACTAGATTGTCAGATTCTCTCTCTATAAGACACTTTTTTTCCACATCCCTGTTGTTGTCCTTATCTGGATGTAAAAGATTCTAATTACTAAAACAAACAAACAAAAAAACACCACGCACACACCTTCAGGAATCCCTGTACGACCCCCCTATTTCTCAGCGTACATTTATTAAGCACCTTTGTGGCCAAGGAAGGGTCCAAGCAGTGAAGGATCCAGACATAGTCCAGGGAGGATAATGTGATGAGTGCCACAATGCTCAAAACAATTGTTCCTCAAGCCCGCAGAGGGGAGGTCTCTTCTAAATGAAGGGTGAGAGGAGAAGGTAGGCAATGTGGAGCATTAAAGATTTTTGAGCAATACAATGGCACTGAATAGAGAGAGTTATGCTTTAGAAACACAGACTACAGGATTCTAGAATGTTATTAGAATGTTGTTGAAATGCCAGACAACAGGTCTAGGTTGAATAGAGAAGCCTGCTGAGCCACAGGGGGAGGTGAACTTGGGGAACTGAAATAGAAGTCTGGGATGAAAGGAAGATGACAATCAGTAGGAATGAGCAACTAGGGAGTAAAGTGGAAGAATTAGAGATTGTAGTCGGAAAATAATTTAAGCTTGGAGGTTTAGAAGTAGGATGTGATAATCACAAAAAAAGTCAAAGACCTGGTTGTTTTAATATCTTTATCATTTGTAGTTTAACAATGTTGAATATATTAAAACATTCTGACATTTTGACCAGGTTCATAAAAGTATGTAATTAAAGTTTATTAAGGTTGTTGAAGGGGTTTTAAAGTAAGAATGTGATAAGGGCATAGCATTTTGGAATAATAAAGTCTTTTTCTTGGAATCTGAAGGGTTATCACATGGAGGGGCAGAAAAGAGAAGCAAAGCCAAGAAAATTCTAAAAAGTAGTTTATAGATGAAGAGGTTAGGTTAGAGAAAAAACACAAGCAAAGGCAGGTGGGCAGGGGGTGGGGGAGAAATTCGGTAGGAAATTAGGTAGGTCCTGAGATAGGTCTTTAATCAAAGGCCATTAAAATATAATTTTAAAAACCCCTTTAAGTCCTACTTCCTTTGTAATAATATAGTGCTAAGTTTCTGTTTTCATGAAAATTTGAGGTTTTCTCCAGGTTTCTAAACACCTAAGTGTACATATAATAGTGCCTTCTAAGAAAACAGAATTTTGCAATTGTGTATAACAAACTCTGCCTACACAAAAGTAATCTGGTGTTTTTGTTTTGTTTTGAGGTGATGGTCTTAAATTATATATTCTGCTATAAGAGAATTCACGATACACAAAATATATAAAAGCATCCTTTTTTTTTTTTTTTTTTAAATTTGAGACGGAGTTTTGCTCTTGCTGCCCAGGCTGGAGTGCAATGGTACGATCTCGGCTCACCACAACCTCTGCCTCCCTGGTTCAAGTGATTCTCCTGCCTCAGCCTCCCGAGTAGCTGGGATTACATGCACGTGCCACCATGCCTGGCTAATTTCGTACTTTCAGTAGAGACGGGATTTCTCCATGTTGGTCAGGTTGGTCTTGAACTCCTGATCTCAGGTGATCAGCCCGCCTCGGCCTCCCAAAGTGCTGGGATTACAGGCATGAGCCACCGTGCCCAGCCAAAAGCATCTTTTAATGGTTGCATTTGTTCAATAAACTTACATAAAACTTAATTAAAACACAGTCGCACCTGAGGAATTTTCCCTCTCATATTATCTCACTCATTAAACATAAGAGGCCAGCATGGCTAGTTTTCCAATATAGCTTAAAATCACAGTAAACAGAAAATTATAAAGCTAACAGAATTTCAATAATTTATAGGCTGAAAAGAGAAAGGTTAAGACTTTCAAAACATACAAAACACATATTTACGCAACCAAATTTAAATGATCCCATTTTAAATCCAATTAAATCAATCTAATTTTGGAGAATGCAGGGGTTGGGGAATGACCAAGACAGCAAGGCATAATTAATCACATCCACACTAAACTAGAGTTTCCCCCAAATACTGTCTCACAAACGTCTAATGTACAGAGCAAAAATACCATGGATATATAAAAGGATAAATCTGAAACAGATACATCTGCACACATCTGATCTGTGAATTGTAGTGAAAGGCAGACCTACTCCTGGACTTTGTAGAAACAACAGAAATTTAAGTCCTGTTCAATGTACCAGGAATATCAATATGAGCACTTAGGTACTCAACAGGGAATTGTTTTTGAGTCTTGAAACTCAGAGTTGAAAACAAAAAGCAGAAATTACATGAAAGTGGATTTATGGGTCTCATGGCAAGATTAGCTGGTTAAGAAAAATAATAATAATCTTTTCATGCTGTGGCACTGATTGTTAGCAGAAGATGGATCATCACACCTCAGCTCCAAGAGTGGTATTCACCAGCTCCACTACTGTGACATAAATGCCACAAGGCATTACTGACAAAATGGGAGGGCAAAAGTCAGCTTTTCATGGGTGATTACAACGCCAGTCATTTTCTCCTTTTCAGACTACTGATGAAAATTTGACAGAGTAAACAGAAAGTAGTGGAATAGTTGCAACACTTTAGGAGTTGGCTGCAACTTCTCTTCATTTGTATAATTTCTCCATGTCCAGTTTGCCCAAGGCAATCATGGAGGCATAAAAGAACCAGGCAATAAATAGAGAAGCGTGATTAAGAGGGTAAGTTTCAGAATTCAAGAGTCATGCAAAAGTTTGCATACAGTCACTATCTGTGTGATTTTGCAAAGATTTCTTAATTGCTTTCATCTTAATCACTGGTAAAACAGGGATTATAAAACAGATCACAAAAGTGCTGCTCTCAAAGAGTTGTTGTGAGGACAAATGAAACGTCTGTAGTGTTTATCACAGTATTTTTCACTTAAATTGTAATAAACATCATCATCATCTCGGCCTAAATTTATTATTCTTAAACATTTTGGATTTTTTTCTCTGTTCTTAACGTTCACCAATTTCTTCCTATGAATACTAGAAAAAATAATTTCCTTCCAACCTTCTTCATACTATCACATAAAATGTTTAACCTCAAAGTATTAATAGGAGAATTTAGATGTCCTTGAATAACCTGATATCTGGAAGATTTTGTGAGTCTATCATTATAGTCTATATTTACATTTTTAGGAAGTGTCCAAAGTACAAATATTCAACTTAAACAGTAGAGATTTAAATGAAATCCATTTTTATAAAGCTTTACTGTTATGTAGTATCCATTAGCCAAATGTGACCATTGAGCACTTGAAATGTAGCTTAAACTAAATTGAGATGTTCAACAAGTACAAAGTACACACTGGATTTCAAAGACTTAGTACATAAAATGTAAAATATTTCATTCACAATTTTTCATAGTGATTACATATTAAAATATTTTGAGCTGGGTGTGGTGGCACATATCTGTAGTCCCAGCTACTCAGGAAGCTAAGGAAGAAAGATTACTTGAGCCTAGGAGTTCAAGTAGCTGAGCCTGGGCAAAAGAGCAAGACCCCATCTCTTAAAAAAATAAATAAAAGCTATTTTGAATAAGAGTTAAATAAGGTATGTTATCAAAATTAATTTCACTGAGTAATTTAAAATTATATATAATTATATATGTGGCTTACATTTGTTGCTCTCATTATGATTCTACTGGATAGCATTATTGTATAGTGAGGACACAATGACATAAAACAATCAAATAGTTCGCTGGAGGACTTGGTATACCTATAGAATAGCCAGATGACTTGCCCTGACTTCTATTTGCTACACTAAGATTAATCTCTGCCAGTCATAAACAAAATACAGGCTGCAATTAGGCCAACTAAAGGAAGTGCTTCAAGTTTATTGTAAATGTGCTTGTTTTTACAACATTTTACTTGGGAATCAAGTTTTTATATTTAAGTCATAGTTTGCCATTTATAGTATTAGGGAAGCAATCTTGAATTCTGATTAGCTTAGCGGTAACCTGAATTGTTTCTCTGGGGACAAAGAAAGCTGTGACATGTTTATCTGCGAGGCTTTGGGGCTGCTTGGCCAACCTCAACCTCAATACCTAATTGCAACTGTCCATTCTCTCATTTGTAAGAAGCCATAATAGACAGGATGCAAATGTGGCTTACAGCAAAATCCTAAGCCAGAGTGGAAAGAGTTCCTCCCTCATCCTCAGGGGGTATTTCTCTGCCCTCCCTCCCCACCAGCAGACAGAGTTTCTGACATTCATAAAACAATAACATATAAAACATATTTCCATTCTTTGTCAAGCATTTCCCAGTATTCTTAAGCCTAAAGAGGTTAACACCATTTACTCCTTTCTATCTGACAGGTTATAGTTTATCATATTTTTTAAATTAGCATAAAATAAAAAAGCAGTGAAGAAAGCATCACAAATAATCAAAACTGATCTCTGCATCAAAGAAACATATTTATTTGGACCATTAAAATGTTAGCTAATACATCTTTCAAAATGAACTGTAATCTCCTACATCATTCCATAAAAGTATACCAAGTTCCAATACAGCCTTTTCACATAAAGCCAGGTGTAATAATAGCACAAATGGAAAAACAATTCAGGAAGAGGAAATAAATGTTTCTGTACATTACCCATATATCTATTTTTTGCAATCACAATTTTACCCACTTAGGGTGTTAAAAAAAAAAAACCCTATCCACATAAACTAAGCCACTCAGACATTTAGAAAGCACAGTCCCTGCACTTTGGATTTGTTGGGTGGGTAGGAAATCAAAGGAACCAAAGCTACAATATATCATTTCCTGTGGTGAAGGATATCACAGGAAAATTCAGTCAACAGCTGTCACCACTGAAATTGAAATGAGTTTGGGTTTTTTTTCTCCAGCTAAATCCGTAGTAAATGATATCCAGCTTGTATTAGCCCAGGTGATTTTCCCTGCAGTTATTCCAAATGAGAACACAATCAATAAAATTCTGTTTTAAATTGGTTGAATGTAGATTATTTTTCCACAAGCATAAATTTTATTCAACTTTATTTAAAAAAATGTCTCCACAGAAAACTACCATCAGACAACATGCAGTGTAAGATCTATTTTTCTTTATAACTGGGAGAAATTGTATGATTCCAAGAGGCTAAAATATCCATAAAAATCAGGACCATAGGGGTTTCCATATCAGGTAGGAACTATAAATAGTACAACTGCTACTTTATTTTATGTTTCCCTCATCTTCCCCATGTGGCCCATATTTTCCTATTTATTTCAAGTTATAACCAAAATCCAATGAACTCCAAGATAAGTGAAAGTTGCATCTCATTTTTCTATAAAAATATCTGTACATTTGTCAAAAGACATTGAACTATACCCTTTAAATGGGTGGATTTTTTGTGTATAAATTGTACCTCAATAAAATTGATTTTAAAAGTAAAATACACACATACACCCCTGTAACATATATTCAAACTACAGCTTTACATTGGTATTTTCACCATATAACTTTAAGACCCCCAACAAACATATCTATTTTCATGAGTAAAAATTTTATGTTCCTTTACTCTCTATATTCTTAGTATATATTCTAGTAATATGATGAACCCAAATACAGATGGTTTTGGTTTTGGGTTGGGTCCAGGATAGTCAAATGACTACAATAAAGAAAGGATTCATAATAGGCTAGTCATGAAAAAGTGAAAGGTCGAGGGAATAAAGTTCCAACATCCAGCAAAATTAATACGTTAAAATGATGGACAACGTCTTCCCATTCCCCCACAAATAATTTACACAATGTGGAATGCTACTGAGATGAGCTATTACACATTTATGGCATTCTAGGATTATCCCCTCACATTTGTTCCCCAATAACTGCCACAATGTTTTGGGAGCTTTGGTAGGAGGTGCTGGAACAGTTAATGAGGATTATTATTAAAAGTCACAGTCCAACAGTCACATTACATCCTTTCCTTATACACCACTTCAGTCTCACATAGCCATTGACAATGCCTCATAATGTTTAAGGGTTTCATTTCATAGATCAAAAGAGCAAGGTATGTAACAGTTTTGTTTCTGGTTTTGTTTTTGAATACAAGTGGTCAACATTTGAATAACTTGTTGCCGGAAGTCGGGGACCCCAAACAGAGGGACCGGCTGAAGCCATGGCAGAAGAACGTGGATTGTGAAGATTTCATGGACATTTATTAGTTCCCCAAATTAATACTTTTATAATTTCTTACGCCTGTCTTTACTGCAATCTCTAAGCATAAATTGTTAAGATTTCATGGACACTTATCACTTCCCCAGTCAATACCCTTGTGATTTCCTATGCCTGTCTTTACTTTCATCTCTTGAACCTGTCAGCTGAGGAGAATGTCGCCTCAGGACCCTGTAATAATTGCATTAACTGCACAAATTGTACAGCATGTGTGTTTGAGCAATATGAAATCTGGGCACCTTGAAAAAAGAACAAGATAACAGCAATTGTTCAGTGAATAAGAGAGAGAACCTTAAACTCTGACCGCCGGTGAGCCAGGCAGAACAGAGCCATATTTCTCTTCTTTCAAAAGCAAATGGGAGAAATATCGCTGAATTCCTTTTCTCAGCAAGGAACATCCCTGAGAAAGAGAATGCCCGCCTGGGGGTAGGCCTATGAACGGCCCCCCTGGGCGTAGCCATCTCTTATGGTCGAGACTGCAGGGCTGAAATAGACCCCAGTCTCCCATAGCGCTCCCAGGCTTATTAGGAAGAGGAAATTCCTGCCTAATAAATTTTGGTCAGACCTGTTGATCTCAAAAACCCTGTCTCCTGATAAGATGCTATCAATAACAATGGTGCCCAAAACTTCATTAGCAATTTTAATTTCGCCTTGGTCCTGTGGTCCTGTGATCTCGCCCTGCCTCCACTTGCCTTGTGATATTCTATTACCTTGTAAAGTACTTAATGTCTGTGACCCACACCTATTCGCACACTCCCACCCCTTTTGAAAATCCCTAATAAAAACTTGCTGGTTTTTGCGGCTTGTGGGGCATCACGGAACCTACCGACATGTGATGTCTCCCCTGGACACCCAGCTTTAAAATTTCTCTCTTTTGTACTCTGTCCCTTTATTTCTCAAGCTGGCTGACGCTTAAGGAAAATAGAAAAGAACCTATGTGAATATCGGGGCAGGTTCCCCAATAATAAGTCATTGGTAAGAAAAAGAGGGAGCACTTCTGAGATCACACAGAGGAATAGTAAGTACTCTCTGTCCTCCATGATTAGTTCCTGATTGCATAAAGAAGAGTTCTATGTCCCAAAACAAAAGATAAAAACAGTAGTACATTTCTACAAAGATAAAAAGCATTTCTTTATCATAGTTATCCTTTGGAAATAACAGAAAATCCATCAGCTTTTTGTCCAAATTACCATCTCATTCAGTCTCAATATTTAGCAGCTTGGAAAACGGAATTAAAGGTAAAATTTTTTAACCTGACAGTTTCTATAATTCACTCATCCATTCATTCATTTATTCATTCATTCAAGTGTTTACTGAGGTCCTATTATGCCATTCTTATAAGTAATGGGGAGATAGTGGTAAACAAGATGGCCAAATTCCTTCATCTAATGGAGCTCATACCCTAGGCAAAAAAATACTGAACAAGCAAACAAATTAAAACGATCATTCCAACTAGTGATGTTGCTGAGAAGAAAACATAACATAGTGAGAAAATATTATAAAGCACTTGTGAGAGTGACTTTACATTGGATGATTAAGGACACACCTCAATAAGACCTGAGAAGATGCACCGCTATACACATTTTTGTTTGTTTCCACCACTGTACACATTTGATGACTGTTCCTGGTAGATTGTATGTATGCAGTAAGTCAAGAACCAAGATACCACTACTAAAAGTGGGCATTTAAAATTCATCTTGTATTATCCTTTCTAGCACTACTTTCCAAATAGTAATTAGAAACAATTGAGAGTGCATTAAACTTTTGATGAGTCTTGGTAGTCTGCCTTTCCTCAGCTCAATTTATTAATTTTGTTTTGTGTTTACTCTGAGTAAATAAAGGTTAATTGGTTCTGGAATGCCAGGGGGTGCTCTTAGGTTAACTAAACATTTAGACTCACAAGACTATGCCATAGACCCCTTGTGGCATCAGTTTACTTGGAAAGATCCAGGACAGGAATCACAGCTTGCTAGCTGGGCAGCTTCAAGTATTCCTCTTCCATGGAATCCTTACCACAGTCCTGCACAGGTGGACAATTCATTCAGGTACAGAGGCAAAATCCCCACCAGTACATGTGAGAGCTGCCCTGACTTAGGAGCCTCATGACCCTCAGTGGCCACAATTGCTTATAACAGCTCCATACATATAGCTTTTCCAGGGCTACCTCAGATTTGAAACTCTAAGCCCCACTACTATGATTTTTTAAAAATATGTAATTATTTAAATAAATTTCAAATACAATATGGAACTACACTACCAAATACAGATACCATTAACTAAAATTGATTGCTGAAATTAAAATTTTAATTAAATAAAATTAAATAAAATTTGAAATTCAGTTCTTTAGTAGCACTAGCCATGTTTCAAATGCTCAATAGCTGTAAGTGGCTATTGGCTACTGGATTAAACAGTACAGGTATAGAACACTTCCATCATCACAGAAAGTTCTATTACATAACATTCAACAAGTTGCTTTTTGTTGCTAATATATCACAAATACTGCCACAATGCTTTCTCAGGCCTTTTAAGAATATTATTTCCCATAACATCATTATTATTTTGTACTGTTAGTGTTTTATGACTAACACAGTGTAAAATCACTAATTTTCCTTTATAACTTAACCAGAGAGTGATCAATGTTTTAAAGAAACCCAATGAGTGAAGAATAGGAAATTTAACAACTGCAGATATTAAAACTATTATACCTCCACTATGCCAAGAGTCATCATGATTTATTATAATTACTTTAGTTAAACTTCTCTTTTTACTGATAACTATTCAGTCCTACAAAGGCAGAAATAAATGTATCCCTAGAACCTAACATCATGTGAGGCAACCAGTAAGAGTTCCTTTAATATGTGTTCAATAAACAATAAATAAAACAAACTCTTAGAATGCTAAAAGGTGTGTGAGCATGTATTACTGAACAGCTCTCACACAAAGTACCTCAGTACATCTCAGCCACTATATGTAACCTCATTACAAAGTCTACTATTTACAGCAGTGTTTATTTGCCTTGTTCTAGGTAGCTGGTTGATAAGACAGGAAAGATTTTTCTATCTTCCTTCAATATCATTAAAAAGAAAATCAGTAACTTTTTATATTTCTGTTAAGAACTCATTTCTTATACCTTTTTTCAACTTTAAGATATATTAAACTAGTAAAGTAAATTAGCTACAAAACTCCAGGAAATGTTAGTATTCTACATGAATTAAGAATGGTGACTTACATGTAAAATTGATTAAAAGTGATACAAAAAGCTGTTTTCACTCCATACTCCCACCTCAAAAGAAAACCTTCACTATAAGAGGCCGAATCAGTGACCCTCCACATATGCTCTAATTCCTGGATCCTCTGAATGTGTTAGGTTACATGGTAAAAGGGGCTCTGCAGATGTAATTAAGGTTAAGGATCTTAGATGAAAAGATTATCCTGGATATCCCTGTAGTCTGATCTAATCGCATGGGCCTTTAAAAGCAGAAAACTTTCTCAGGTTGGAAGCAGTGTGACACAGCAGCATAAATTAGAGAGATCTGAAGCATGGGAAGGCTCTGAGATGGGACCCACAGGCAAGGACTTCAGAGGCCTCTAGGAAATCCTGGAAAGCATGAGAAGGAATGTGGGCAGCCTCTAGGAGGAAAGACCAGGCTTCAACTGACAGCCAGCATAAAAACAGGATCTCCAACAACTTAAATAACCTTGGAAGTAAATTCTTCCCCAGAGCCTCCAGTAAGGAATATAAGCCTTGCTGACACCTTGATTTTAGCCTGGCAAGACCCATGTCCAATTTCTAACCTACAGACTGTGAGATAATAAATGGGCATTGTTTTAATCCACTAAATGTGTGGCATTTGTTAAGGCTGGAATAGAAAACTAATACACTGGTCACTCTTTGTTTTGTTTTCTTTATATAAAAATGCTAGTGTCATTGCTAAATATCAGGGAATATATATACAATGTACTTATGCACACAGACATATGACATGAGTGATTTTTAAATATTCTAAAGGAGTGTTTGAAAAAATGGCTATAAAGGCTCTAATCTACACACGCTAATAAGCTTTAACATTTGGCTTCCTCAATTCCACCTTTTTCAAGTCACTCGTTCACTTGTTAAGAAATCTGCCACTTTCTCACTTGGGCAAGATGGCATTTTTAGACTAATGAACTTCCCTGTATTTTCAAAGCTATACACCACCTAGGCTGCTGCTGTTCTTTGTTCTTACCTCCATCTGATCTGCTGGAAAACATCTATGATGCAATTCCTTCTACATAAAGTTACTACAGTATTTCTTCTCAGTTACTTTGCCTGAACACACAGAAACTGTTCACATTCTATAATTTTTTGCCACAGGTTTATTCAATCCCAAAAGCTATACATATCTGATAAAATGGGAATGGCTAAGTAAAAGTAGATATATCTATTCTTGATTGACTATTATGCAGATACTTAAAATTGGAGTCATGAAAATCAATTTTCTACTTTATTACCTAGTTATAACACATTAAGTGAAAATTTTAAAAGTTAACCACTTTATAATTAAAGTATGCATCAAGTTCACAAAAGAAGCTTAGTGTTGGTTGCATTAGGGAGGGAGGTGATTTTATATATTGTGACTATACATTTTACCAAAAACATTAAATGACATTAAATTTGTAACATAATCCACATGCAGATACTGCTTCTCACAAGACTTCCTATCACTCTCTTTACTATCTACTTAACTTGCAGCAACTATTCCGGTGCAGCTTTGGGTATGTGTGTGGGTGGGGAGCGGGGGACTATTTATAAATTTTGGTCCTCTTTCCCCTTAAAAATATAAGCATCTTGAGTTAAGGGACCACATCTATTAGTTCTTTTGTACATAATCAGTACCAATTATAGTGCCCTTAACACAACCGGCTGATTCTAACAAAATGCTGACTATTCACAAGTATACCTCTAAGAAGGCATTAACATTTTCCATACAGATGTGAAAAAATTGTAATTCAAAGGTGACAATGGAAAACAATATATTCTAATTTATTAATATCTTACACAGCACCTGGAAAACCTTCACTATAATCAGTGAACTAAAAGCTTGTGCTGCTGCATGTAGAAAAGGAAATAAATGTTCAAGGTACGGCCAGAGACTGGAAACAGGTGATGAGAAAGAGCTAACAAACAACTGAAGCATGTGGACCAGGCTAATGAGGCTTTCATTTCAGCCCTCAACTGATGAAGCCCCTATCTACTAAACCATTTTCTGGCATTTATTTTCATATTTACCACAATAGACACATGAATGCCCACACAATTTTCTGATTTCAAAATGAGAACTAATTCAAAAAGAAAACAATGATAGCTGTACCACTTTGGATAGTAAGAAAAGCTTTCTTACAGAGATTACATGTCTGATAAAAAATTTGTGAAAGCATATTCTTTAGAAAAATAAGTAGACATGTGTGCATATTAACAAAATGTACTGCCTTCGGAAAAGGAATGTTACAAAAGTAGTAATAATACCAACTGAAGGAAGATGCTTTTATTACTTTAAATGATTTTAAAATAATGGTTTGTATAAACATCTGCTTGCAAAATCAGTATGCACTAAAAGTTAATCGATATGATGCAGTCCAAGTACTTACTATAAGTAATACTTGTCTTAGCTTGCTTTATCTTTGTTTGATTTCTAATTCATTCTTGGGCTGAAATATGCTCACAAAATTGTGGTGTGACAAATACACATTTTAAAAATGAGTTATTCTTTAATGACAAAACATTAAATAATAGCAATTTTTTTTTTTGAGACAGAGTCTTGCTGTGTTGCCCAGCCTGGAGTGCAGTGGCATGATCCTGGCTCACTACAACCTCTGCCTCCTAGGTTCAAGTGATTCTCCTGCCTCAGCCTCCTGAGCAGCTGGGATTACAGGTGCGCACCATCACAGTGGGCTAATTTTTGTATTTTTAGTAGAGACAGGCTGGTCTTGAACTCCTGGCCTCAAGTGATCTGCCTGCCCCAGCCTCCCAAAGTGCTGGGATTACAGGCATAAGCCACCACGTCCAGCCAATAATAGCAACTTATAATATGTGACTTATAACAGTGACTTATAATATGCTGTCCCCCAATGCACTTCATATCTTGAAGTCAAGGGATAAAGGAGGAAGATACATACACTGTAGGCGTTATTTTTAAGGGGGAAAAATTCTCAATCATACAACTAAAAGTTATCACATGTATAATATGGGCTGCAAGTTTTCCTCTCTAGTTGTACCTGTTTATACTTCATATTTATAAGTGAGATAATAAATAAAAATAAACATCTTTATCATGCACACTTGCTAGCCTAATGCCATTTTTATAAATATTATCCCATGGTAGCATCATTAGGATAGCAAAGATACTTATTTACAATAAACTTCTACATTCATGGGAACATATTCCAAGACCTTTATGTATCTCCAAACTACCAAATCAGTGAACGATATAATTTACCCTAGAAAATGCAGTGATATACAACCATGAGAATGACAGTAAAGCCACAATGAGATGCAGGCTCCTTAGATTACATATCTAATCATATGCAATTTGGTGAAAGCAGAAATAACGATTTATACAAATTCTCTCTAAACTTTATATTATTGTAAGTCTAAGTTATTTTATTTTTTCCAATAGAAAAGTTCCTGGTACCAATTTTGAAAAATGGTATAGTCTTATGAAATAATTAATTCATCTCTTTTGAGGAGAGGGAAAGGCAGTATTTTTCATTAGAAAAATCAGGTTTTCTTGGCTGGTGCACGGTGAGCATGGTGGCTCACACCTGTAATCCCAACACTTTGGGAGGCCAAGGCAGGCAGAACACCTGAGGTCTGGAGTTAGAGACCAGTCTGGCCAACATGATGAAACCCCATCCCTACTAAAACTAAAAAATTAGTTGGGTGTGGTGGCACATGCCTGTAGTCCCAGCTACTCAGGAAGCTGAGGCAGAAGAATCGCTTGAACCCAGGAGGAGGAGGTTGCAGTAAGCTGAGATCATGCCATTGCACTCCAGCCTGGGTGACAGAGTGAGACTTTGTCTCAAAAAAAAAAAAAAAAAAGAAAAAGAAAAATTAGGTTTTCTTAATGAGAACATCATGAGGCTCCATCACCAACCTGTAAAATAGGGATTATGATAAATAACCATCTACCATCCACACTGGATTGTTCTGAGTATGCACCAAAAAGCTAGATTGGAAAGTACTTTTTAAACTCCAGTCAGTTTGATTTCCTGGCCTATCCCCTTCTAACCCTCCTAAAACATTGCCCCTTCAATTATTCCCTCTTACTCCCATACTACTCATTTCTGCCTTAACCTGTAAATATGCTCATCTTACCAATCTTAAGGAAAAAATAAAACACTTCCTTCAACCATGAAGCTCACAGATGCAGTCCTTTTTCCTGACATGTCCTCAGAATTAAGCTCTACCAAGAGTAGCCTACTACCTATATCTCCACAGCCTCATTTCTTATTTATTCCTCAAATCCTCATGAGACTTGGACTTGTATCCATACCATTAGCACCCGTCATACCACTATCCTTTTTTGTTCAAAGCTCCTCCCTGGTATTTTTACCGGTTTCTCATATCCCAACTCCCGCACTGCCCATCACAAGTTATTTAAACGCTGATATTCTGTGGGTTCGATTCAGAACCCTTCACCCTTTTCTTGTCTCTCTATACTCTCTTCCTCAGTGATCTCAACCATTCCCTTCATTTTAACCAAGACCTGCACAGTGATGATTAGCAAATGTCTCCCTGATGTAAACCTCACTCTTCAACTGTGGGTCTGTATTCAACTGCTTACTAAACATCCCCCACATAGGTCCCCATAGGTATCTCAAGCTTAAAATGTCTGAAACTACTGAAATTACCATCTAAGCATCATATTCACTCCCTAATTGCCTTGTCTTCCTTTCTTTATTCTCCTTCTTAGTTAATGACAATATTATCCCTCAAGTGAGATTACAGTTCAGTCCATTCAGCCTGAGAAAGCTGACTAAGAATAAAACAACAAAAAAGGAATAAACTTCAGTCCAATCTGAGCTCCCACTGTGAGCCACTGTGCTAGAATGCATGGAAACCAAAACAATTAAGTTATGGCCCGATTACTTAAGGAGATAATTCCACGAGGGAGACAGTTCAATTAACAAAATTATGTACATTGTATTTAATTCTGATAGAAAATGATACAAATTTTATAACTTGTTCAAGTGCCTGTCTCTCAAATGAAATCAAACCCAACTCTCTGAAAACAGAGATTGTGTGTTTTCTTTAAATTCTAAGCACATAACGGGCACTAAGTAATTAATGAGTGAATGGACGATACTAATGAATTAAAAACACAGTTGTACTGCCATAAGATATTGAAGCACGATATTTTTCTGTACTTGAGAATTGGATTCAACTAAAACAGTTTGGACACATCACTTCTGCAGTCTCAAAATAATATATATTGTTAAGTGATATTCTAGATTATTTGATTGGCAGTGTTACCTTAATTCTCTTTGAGTCTCTAAATCCTGTAAAATGATTTGAGAATTTCTCTGTATTGCTACTTCAATTTTTACAGGTATTTGTATTATCTCCCAAATTAGTTTTATTGACAAATTTAATTAAAATGCTACTCATCATTCCTCTTTCCTCATTAGAGGCAATAAACAAAATTAGACCTAATAATGATCTCGGTATCAACCTCCTAATGTCCATCCGCCTCTAGGTAACATTTAAATTACACAGTTCATGCAAATCAATTTTTTTCTAACAAAATTATTATTAAAATCTCTCAAACCAAATAATATTATTTCCTATTTAGAACTAAGCAAAAGGAAGATAAAATGAAAACATTACATTTAGACAAGCAAAAGCAACAATTCAATATTCTTGAAAGGCGTTATCACAAGGTTACTTTGTAGAACAGGAAGTGTCAAACTATGCACATCAGCTGCCACCCGACATATACATGTCTCTGACATGGTAATAAAATGAGAAACTGTTTTGTTTAATAATAATAATAATAAAGCAACAGCGGTGGGTGCACATTACATGTAGCATCTAGTCCTGGTTGCCTAGCAACCAGTCATGAGTGAAATCCACAGAGAATAAAAGCCCTTAAATGAATTTACAGTTTGTGCAACTTTCAAGGACTCAAAGAGATGTGTCAGTAGTTAATCTAAATTCTAGCTGGCAATTACCATATTCAGATGGAGGAAGGAGAATCCATCATTATCTCTCAGAATCAACTGTGAGATTAACTAGAAGCTAGATTCTACCCTTTAGGTTTTTACCTTTTGAACCAGTGGTTTTCTAGGAAAAAAATTTTGACAAGATGATTTATAAATTATAAAAACTTTATGCAGAAAAAAACAACAAAATTTCACTAATATAACTTGTATTCATTCATTCAACAAAACATATAATACCTATCATACACCAGATACTGTCTCCGCTATTGAAAATACAAATATGAACATCACTTTACAAGCCTTCAAGCATACTATAATGGAGAAATCAAACAGTAAACAAACAATAACAATATCACAAATTCTGTAATACAGAGGAAGGCATGGGATATTATGAAAATATCTATAAAAGACTTCCAATTCAGACTACGGAGGTGAACTAATTAATGGTCAGGGAAAACTTATCAGAAGAGGTAATGTTTGAGATGAGTTTTAAAAGACAAGCAGAAGTTGTTATAAAAGTGGAGCATGAGGAGAATATAAATAGATTTGCGTATTTATATACATCTACAATATGCTTTAAATATATATTTCTAAAATATATATTTATATTATATATTTAAAATGTTTTAAAATTATATTAAATACATTTAAAATATCTTAAAATTATATTAAATACATTTGAAATGTTTTAAAATTATATATATTATATATCTACAAATTTACATAAACAGAAGTGGCAGAAGGAAAAATATTTGTAATGCCGTAGAGGTGAGTGAGCAAAAAGCATGTTGTGTTAAAGGAACTTCACGGCATTTGGTGAAATTAGGATCTCAGTGTTAAAACAGGAGTCCAAAGAGACAGACAGCCCAGGCCTCTTCCAGAAGGACCTCTTATGCCAGGCTAAGAAGTTCGGACTTCCTCCAGAATGAAATTGGAGAGGCAGAGATGGGTCTTAAGCCAATGAATAATATAAACACATATGGCAATGATGTGAAATATATCAGAAAGGGCAAAGCAAACAGACAAGATGCTATGATAGCAAGAGATATACTCAAGAGATAAAATTGCCAACAGAGTTGAATGCAGCAGGTGGACATTAAGCAAGAGACTCAAAAATAATTTCTGAGATTCTTAACTCACTAACACAGAGTTCTAGTAAATTTAACAATCATGTATAAATGTTGTTATACATAAAAATGTATGCTATTCATTCCCTGCTGAAATATTAGACTTGATCAATCCGACAAAACAATTACACAAAGGTTACGACTTCTTCGTAACCCAACAAAACAATTATACAAAGGTTAAAAAGCTGTCTGGGAAGGAACAGTTACTGGAGAGCAGGAAGAAAAGGCAAGGAAAGTGGAGAGGGGAGGAAGAAAGAAAGGACAAATAAAGAAATACTAAGAAAGAAAAAGAAAACTAAAACTAAAACTTTCTGGTGAAAGTAAAAATCTATCCACACTTCTGAAAGAGAAGTTTAAAAATAATTTTTCAAAACCATAAAGGAAAACACTATTGGTGCTTGACTACATAAAACCTGAAAATGTAGGTATGTTGACTAATACAATTTTAGAATTTTAGAAAAAATGTATGTAACAAATACAACAAAGAGTCACTATCCTTTAAAGTATGTAAAAGCAAATAAGATCAGGAGATGCTATCAATAAGTGAGCAAAGAATACAGGTAGTTAATCCCACCTCAAAAATAAGGAAAATGAATTATTATTACCGACAAAATGCACAGTATCACAACAGTATCTCTATGTCTAACCTATTAGCAACTGTTTTGACTGCCCTATCTTGTTCAGAGTATAGTTACATGGCAGTATTATACAAATATGAGTGTATAGGTAGAATAAGATTTTGAAAAAGAAATATACATATACACTTAAATCTTTGAAATGGTTCACACCCTTTGACAAAGTAATTCTAATTCTGAAAACCTACCCTAAGAAAATGATCTAAAATACAAATAAAGGTTAACATATCACATTATTTTATAGTAGGAATAAAAAACTGGAAATGGTCTAAAGCTTCCCAAAGGGAGATAAATATGCTATAGTACAGATATACAAGAAAATATAATGTAGTCACTAACAATAATGTTTTTAGAAAGATTTTAATACTAAAGGAAAAAATATTACAATATTTATAAAAATGGAAAAAGTAGTCACATAAACTATAATTTCAACACTGAGTAAAAAACAACAATGACAACAACAACAACAAAAACATAGAAAGGGCAGGGTGCGGTGGCTTATGCCTGTAATCCCAGCACTTTGGGAGGCTGAAGCAGGTGGATCACCTGAGGTCAGGAGTTCGAGACCAGTCTGGCCAATATGGCAAAACCCTGTCTCTACTAAAAATACAAAAATTAAACAGGCGAGGTGCCCCACACCTGTAATCCTAGCTACTTGGGAAGCTGAGGCACAAGAATTGCTTGAATCGGGGAGGCGGAGGTTGCAGTGAGCGGAGATCACACCACTGCACTCTAGCCTGGGTGACAGAGCAAGATTCCATCTCAAAAAATAAAAAATTAAAATTAAAATTAAAAAACATAGAAAGGATAAATATTATTTCTGAGTAGTAATGATAGGGTTTTCCTTTTCCTTTCCTGTATTTTCTAACTTTATTTTTTAAATAATGAGACTATATTATTTTTGTATTTAGAAACAAACTCCATCCAACTCATCTATCCTCAATAAAAGTATGCCTTAACCTTGTATTTACATAAATAGCTCATTCATTTGAGATCTTTCTGTAAAGTTAGTTATCTCTACTCATTTAACTTAAACTTATCAAGCAGTTCAGCACACTGTTGTTGAATTAAAAGAGCTTTCTACAGTGCCCTAAAGTCAAGGGTAACGAGTCCATGGTATTAAGAACTTCAATTTGAATAACGGAATGAAAGCAAGAAAAAAAATAAGTTTTTAGTAATTGAAAGGGTTTCACCACTTTAATATACTTTATTCACTTTACTGCACTTGGATTTATAAGCATAACAGGCTGTGCCTTTATATTACCTGAGGTGATTGAGCAGAGGCTGAAGTCTTTCATCAGACTGCACAGCAGGCAAGGACCTGGCTGTTAACTAAAAGCAGGGAAGAAAATTAGTAAAAACAGCAAAGGCCGAACACCGAACATATTTGAATACTAAATGTAAAACGAGCTGAAGGGCAGATAGGGAGGCAATACTTAAAAATATAAGGTTCTATTTCTCTTTTTTCAAATCAAGAAATTATATAAAAACCTGACACATTACGTGATCAAAGCTAGCTACATGGTTCTAAGGACATAGGGTATGTCACTAAGTTTAAAAGTAAAGAAAAAGGTGAGCAAAACAGAGAGTAAAAGGGAGTGTCCTGAGTTCATGAAAAAGCATTCACTTATGAGACTATTATCTTTGTAAATAAAAATGGAAAAACTTCTAAATGTAAAATTGTATAACAACCAATCTTGTAGCACCGAGTCCTAAGATGATGAATAAATTGGGAAGATAAATTCTGATTTATAGCTAAGCCACTGTGAAACTGGTTACATACAGAAGTGTATGTACTTTATTCTGTCAGCCACATGACTATAAGGAACCAAGGATATCTTTTAAGTATACAGAAACAACTCAAAAGTATTTAATATTGAAATATGACCTCAAATTGAGCTAGGAAATAAGAAGTCAGAGCCAATACTGTGTACCAACTTGACAGCATATCATCAAAATGTGAATTTATGATCTGTTTTATTACAACAATATTAATTATATATCTATGTATCTCTATTTTCTTCTCTGTTCTTAAGAGAATGCCTTTTTATAAGAATTTGACACAAGGAAATTAAAGACATTCATTCAAAGTAATCAGATAGCTTGAGGTAAACTTAACATCAAAACAAAAATAAAAGATAAATCTCCTCAAGATTCAATTATGATCAAAATGGTTCTCATATTTTACTAATCAATCATTTAACAATTCACAAAAAAGAACCTTAAGACAAGCAACAAACTGAAAGATATCTTTTGGGTTTATGTAGTGTATCCTGTCTTTCTAATTTTTTTCATACATTAATTACAATTTCCTAAAAATGGAAAACATTAGTTCATCAAATCTAATTTTTATATTATGCAAATAATGCTATCATCTAAAAATATCTTTTATATATTTTTTTAAAAGTTGGCCAAAGTGCCATATTCTGATAATAATGGAGAAGCTTTCCCAATTTTGTACAAGAGTCAACACCTCGACAGTTACTAATTTAAAATACAATAAAGTGAGACGATCTGCTGCAATTTTAGCACAATCAATAGACTTTCAGTATCCCTGAAAAATACTAAGTATCAAAATACTAAGTACTAAGTATTAAAAATATACTAAGTAACATATATGTAACATATAAGATGTTATCAAGGTTATCAAATTCTATAAACAAAACACTTTAATACTTTAATACATCCTTTATCTGTTAATGTCAAATCCTGTTACAAAATGCCATTTTCATTGTTCAAGAGATTTCATGTCTCAGAACCAAAGCTGTGTTCTAAAACGATTTAAATGATTTATCTAGACATTTCAAAAGTCAGTTCTCTGAAAACAGAGCAGACAGAGTGGGCTTTCTCAGTCACTTCTGTCAATCTATATAGTATGCTTTCTAATAGAGGCAAACAGAAATCACCTCAGTAACAGCAAAATATTCTAGACATCTGTTAAGTCCATATAGGAAAGATTTTCACATCTACCCCTTCATCTTAATTTCAGTCTTCATTTCCTTTTCCCTAAACTATTAATACATCTCCACTGTTGTTTCTGCTGCCATTCTTGCCCCTTCCCTAATTTATACCAAGGTCAGAGTGAAATGTTCAAAATGAAAGTCAACCACACCCCTAATTAAAATCATCTAGTAATTCCCTCTGGCTCCCAGGGTAAAGTTATTACATCAGTCTTTCATCAGACATTTTCTTAAAATTTTCCTTTTAGGCAGCATTACTGAAACAATAGGCACAGAATGATTGACTGACTACACAGCTTCTGCCAATTCCACAAAACACAATGACAGCACATTAGGTAGAAGTTTTCCATAGCTCCAGTTTTCTGGAACACATGTGCTCGATGATTTGAGTTCTCCCATCCTCCCCTTCCCACCTCCAACTTACTTTCGAGATTGAATCTCTGGCAAGAATGATTCCTAAACCAGGGAGAGGCCAATGCTCTGAGTAAAATTATTTCAAGGAAGATTTTTGAGTTCTCCAAAGGTTTTCTTTTCAACTTTTAAAACAATTACCGTTTACAAAAAGAGCATGCATCTCTTCATGTTAAGTATATGAAGTAATAAATCTATTCCAAAGCTCTTTAAAGTGGCAAACCCATCTGCGAACCTTTTGCTGACAGAAAGCAAACTTCATTTTAGGAACTGTTGGCTCCATTTCTTCTGAAATTTTTCTCTGAGCTAACGTAGTTACCACTTACATCCACTGGACTGTGAGTGGTAACTGCATCCCTAGCACTTGCAACACAACAGATGTTTAGTTTAGCAAGTGTGTAATTTCATTAATTGATAAAAATGAAAGTATATGTCTATGTTTCATAAAGCTTTTCAAATTCCTGCTTTGAGCAAAACTAAATATAAATCAAAACTAAACTAAGTAACAATTATCAAGCCTTCCAAGAAAGCAATACACTGTCACAATGAGATTTTTAGCATTTCCTCTACAACTAGAAAGCTATATCTATCCAGGTTAAATCGACTTTGGCTTCCAACTGTGTTTTAATTTTTTTTCTTTTTATAGAAAACAAAACAATGTACCAAACACATAAATCACCAGGAATGAAAGAGAGGGAAGATCTATCACAGTTTGCATCTGCAAAGCCTAAACGAGTTGTCTAAGTTTGGGCTATTTCATGAAAACCATCATACAATTTGGCATAACTTATAGCTTATTTCTCATTATTGTTGAAAGGTTAGGGGTGAGTTAAGATGTCCTTTCATTATTAAAACTATATTAGCCCACTGAATTAACTAATACAGTTTCCACTGTTTTTAGATAAGTATAACCGATCACTAACTCTTATATAAATCTCATTTTAAAAATTAGTATTACTGGGTAAATTTTGCCCTTTGACATCTATCTGGTTACAAAAATAATGCAAGTTTTATATGAAGAAATCCCGTTTCCAACGAAAGCCTCAAAAAAGTCCAAATATTCACTTGCAGATTCTACATAAAGAGTGTTTCAAAAGTGCTCTATCAATCAAAAGAAAGGTTAAACTCTGTGAGTTGAAGGCACACATCACAAAGTAGATTCTGAGAATGATTCTGTCTAGTTTTTCTAGGAAGATATTTCCTTTTCTACCACAGGCCTCAAAGCGCTCTAAATATACACTTGGGAATTCTACAAAAATAGTTTTTTGAAACTGCTTTATCAAAAAGAAAGTTCAACTCTGTGAGTTGAATGCACATAGCACAAAGAAGTTTCTGAGAATTCTTCTGTCTAGTTTTATATGAAGAAATCCCGTTTCCAACGAAGGTCTCAAAGAGATCCAAAAGTCCACTTGCAGATTCTACAAAAAGGGTGTTTCAAGACTGCTCTATCAAGAGGAATGTTCAACCCTGTTAGTCAAATGCAAACATCACAAAGTAGTTTCCGAGAATGCTTCTGTCTAATTTTTATGTGAAGATATTTCCTTTTCTACCACAGACCTCAAAGCGCTCTAAATATCCAGTTGCAGATTCTACAAAAAGAGTGTTTCAAAACTGCTCTATCAAAAGAAAAGTTAAACTCTGTAAGGTGAATGCACACATCTCAAAGTCGTTTCTGAGAATGCTTCTGTGCAGTTTTTCTATGAAGATATTTCCTTTTCTACCATAGGCCCCAAAGCTCGCTAAATATCCACTTGCAAATTCTACAAAAAGAGTGTTACAAAACTGCTCTATCAAACGGAAGGTTCCACTCTGTGAGTTAAGTGCAGACATCACAAAGAAGTTTCTGAGAATACTTCTGTCTACTTTTTATGTGAAGATACACCCGCTTCCAAAGAAGGCCTCCAAGCGTTCAAAATACCCACTTGCAGACTTTAGAAACAGTGTTTCAAAACTGCTCTATCAAAAGAAAGGTTAAACTCTATGAGTTGAATGCACACATCATAATGTAGTTTAAGAGGATGATTCTGTCTAGTTTTTATATGAAGATATTTCCTTTTCTACCATAGGCCTCAAAGCGCTCAAAATATCCAATTGCCAATTCTACAAAGAGAGTGTTTCAATATTGCTCTATCAAAAGGAACGTTCAACTCTCTGAGCTGAGTACAAACATCACAGATAAGTTTCTGAGAATACTTCGGTCTACTTTTTATGTGAAGATATTTGCATTTCCAAAGAAGGCCTCAAAGCGCACCAAATATCCACTTGCAGACTTTACAAACAGAGTGTTTCAAAACTGCTCTATCAAAAGACAGGTTAAACTCTGTGAGTTCAATGCACAAGTCACAAACTAGTTTCTGAGAATCATTCTTTCTGGTTTTTCCATGAGGATATTTCCTTTTCTTCCATAGACCTCAAAACTTTCTAAATATCCACTTGGAAATACTACAAAAAGAGTGTTTCAAAACTCCTCTATTGAAAAGAAGGTTCAAATCTGTGAGTTGAAAGCACACTTCACAAAGAAGTTTCTGAGAAGTCTTCTGTCTAGTTTTATATGAAGGAACCCCATTTACAACGAAGGCCTCAAAGAGGTCCAAATATCCACTTACAGATTCTACAAAAAGAGTGTTTGAAAACTGCTCTATCAAGAGGAATGTTCAACTCTGTGAGTGGAAGGCAAACATCACAAAGTAGTCTCTCAGGAAGCTTCTGTCTAGTTTCTATGTGAAGATAATTCCTTTTCTACCATAGGTTTCAAAGCGCTCTAAATACACACTTGCAAATTCTACAAAAAGAGTGTTTCAAAACTGCTCTATCAAAAGAAAGTTTAAGCTCTGTGAGTTGAATGCACACATCACAAAGTCATTTCTGAGAATTCTCCTGTCTAGTATTACATGAAGAAATCCCGTTTCCAACGAAGGCCTCAAACAGGTCCAAATATCCACTTGCAGATTCTACAAAAAGAGTGTTTCAAAACTGCTTTATCAAGAGGAATGTTCAACTCTGTGAGTTGAATGCAAACATCACAAAGTACTTTCTCAGAATACTTCTGTGTAGTTTTTCTATGAAGATATTTCCTTTGATACCATAATCCTCAAAGCACTCTAAATATCCACTTGCAAATTCTACAAAAAGAGTGTTTCAAAACAGCTCAATCAAAAGGAAGGTTCAACTCTCTGAGTTGAGTGCAGACATCAAAAAGAAGTTTCTGAGAACACTTCCGTCTACTTTTTACGTAGGCCTCAAAGCGCCCCAAATATCCACTTGCAGACTTTACAAACAGAGTGTTTCAAAACTGCTCTATCAAAAGAAAGGTTATACTCTGTGACTTCAATGCACACATCATAAAGTAGTTTCTGAGAAAGATTCTGTCTAGTTTTTATATGAAGATATTTCCTTTTCTACCATAGGCTTCAAAGCACTCTAAATATTCACTTGCAAATCCTACAAGAGTGTTTCAAAACAGCTCTATCAAAAGAAAGGTTAAACTCTGTGAGTTGAACGCACACATCACAAAGTAGTTTCTGAGAATAATTCTGTCTAGTTATTCTATGAAGATATTTCCTTTTCTACCATAGGCCTCAAAACGCTCTAAATATCCAGTAGGAAATTCTACAAAAAGAGTGTTTCAAAACTGCTCTATCAAAAGGAAGGTTCAACTCTGTGAGTGGAGTGCAGACATCACAAAGAAGTTTCTGAGAGTACTTCTGTCTACTTTTTATGTGAAGATACTCCCATTTCCAAAGAAGACCTCAAAACGCTCCAAATATCCACTTGCAGACTTTACAAACAGAGTGGTTCAGAATTTCTCTATCAAAGGAAACGTTTTACTCTGTGAGTTGAATGCACACATCACAAAGTAGTTTCTGAGAATGATTCTGTCTAGTTTTTATATGAAGATATTTCCTTTTCTACCATAGGCTTCAAAGCGCTCTAAATATGCACTTGCAAATTCTACAAAAAGAGTGGATAAAAACTACTCTATCAAAAGAAAGTTTCAATTCTGTGAGTTGAATGCACACATCACAAAAAGTTTCTGAGAATTCTTCTGTCTAGTTTTTATGTGAAGAAATTCCCCTTTCCAACGAAGGCCTCAAAGAGGTCCAAATATCCACTGGCAGATACTACAAAAATAGAGTTTCAAAACTGCTCTATCAACAGGAACGTTGAACTCTGTCAGTTGAATGAAATCATCACAAAGTAGTTTCTGAGAATGCTTCCGTCTAGTTTTTATGTGAAAATATTTCCTTTTCTACCATTGGCCCAAAGCGCTCTAAATATACTCTTCCAAATTCTACTGAAAAGTTTTCAAGACTGCTCTGTCAAGAGAAAGGTTAAACTCTGTGAGTTAAACGCACACATCACAAAGTAGTTTCTGAGAATGATAGTTTCAATTTTTTCTGTGAAGCTATTTCCTTTTCTACCATAGGCCTCTAGGCACTCTAAATAACCACTTGGAAATTCTACAAAAAGAGGTTTTCAAAACTGCTCTATTGAAGGGAAGGTTCAAACCTGTGAGTTAAATGCACACATCACAAAGAGTTTCTGAGAATTCTTCTGTCTAGTTTTATATGAAGAAATCCCATTTTCAACGAAGTCCTCAAAGAGGTCCAAATATCCACTTACAGATTCTACAAAAAGAGTGTTTCAAAACTGCTCTATCAAGAGGAATGTTCAACTCTGTTAGTTGAATGCAAACATCACAAAGTAGTTTCTGAGAATGCTTCCATCTAGTTTTTATATGAAGATATTTCCTTTTCTACCATAGGCCTCAAAGCCTTCAAAATACACACTTGCAAGTTCTACAAAAAGTGCGTTTCAAAACTGCTCTATTAAAAGAAAGGTTATACTCTGCGAGTTGAATGCACACATCACAAATTAGTTTCTGAGAATGATTCTGTCTGGTTTTTCTATGAAGATATTTCCTTTTCTACCATAGGCCTCCAAGCGCTCTAAATATCCACTTGGAAATTCTACAAAAAGTGTGTTTCAAGACTGCTCTAATGAAAGGAACGTTCAACTCTGTAAGTTGAATGCACACATCACAAAGAAGTTTGAGAATTCTTCATCTAGTTTTTATATGAAGAAATTCCCGTTTCCAACGAATGCCTCAAAGAGGTCAAAATATACACTTGCAGATTCTACAAAAAGAGTGTTACAAATGTTCAACTCTTTGAGTTGAATGCAAACATCACAAAGCAGTTTCTCAGAATGCTTCTGTGTAGTTTTTCTATGAAGATATTTCCTTTTCTACCATAGGCCCCAAAGCCCTCTAATTAGCCACTTGCAAATTCTACAAAAAGAGTGTTTCAAAACTGCTCTATCAAAAAGAAAGTTCAACTCTGTGAGTTGAATGCAAACATTGGAAAGAAGTTTCTGAGAATGCTTCTGTCTAGTTTCTTTGAGAAGATATTTCCTTTTCTAACGTAGGCCTCAAAGCCCTCTAAATATACACTTACAAATTCTTCAAAAAGAGTGTTCCAAAACTGTTCTATCAAAAGAAAGGTTAAACTCTGAGAGTTTGACACACACATCACAAAGTAGTTTCTGAAAATGATTCTGCCTAGTTTTTATATGAAGATATTTCCGTTTCTACCACAGGCCTCAAAGGGCTCTAAATATCCATTGGAAATTCTACAAAAAGAGTGTTTCAAAACTACTGTATAGAAAGGAACGTTCAACTCTCTGAGTTGAATGCACACATCACAAACAAGTTTCTGAGAATTCTTCTGTCTAGTTTTTATACGAAGAAATTCCCATTTCCAACGAAGGCCTCAAAGAGGTCCAAATACACACTTGCAGATACTACAAAAAGATTTTTACAAAATTGCTCCACCAAAATGAATGTTCAGCTCTATGAGTTGAATGCAAACATCTCAAAGTAGTTTCTTAGAATGCTTCTTTGTAGTTTTTCAAAGAAGATATTTCCTTTTCTTCCTTAGGCCCCAAAGCGCTCTAAATATCCACGTGCAAATACTACAAAAAGAGTGTTGGAAAACTGCTCTATGAACAGGAAGGTTCATATCTGTGAGTTGAGTGCAGACATCACAAACAAGTTTCTGAGAATACTTCTGTCTCCTTTTTATGTGAAGATATTCCCGATTCCAAAGAAGGCCTCAAAGCACTCCAAGTATCCACTTTCAGACTTTACAAATAGAGTGTTTCAAAACAGCTCTATCAAAAGAAAGGCTAAACTCTGTGAGTTGAACGCACACATCACAAAGCAGTTTCTGAGAATGATTCTGTCTAATTTTTCTATGAAGATATTTCCTTTTCTACCATAGGCCTCAAAGGGCTCTAAATAACCACTTGGAAATTCTATAAAAAAAGTGTTTCAAAACTGCTCTATTGAAAGGAAGGTTCAACTCCGTGAGTTGAATGCACACATCACAAAGAAGTTTCTGAGAATTCTTATGTCTAGCTTTATATGAAGAAATTCCATTTCCAATGAAGGCTTTAAAAAGATCCAAATGTCCACTTGCAGATAATACAAAAAGAGTGTTTCAAAACTGTTCTATCAAAAGGAATGTTCAACTCTCTGAGGTGAAAGCAAATATCACAAAGTAGTTTCTGAGAATGCTTTTCTCTAGTTTTTATGTGAAGATATTTCCTTTTCTACCATAGACCTCAAAGCACTCTAAATATCCACTTGCAAATTCTACAAAAAGAGTGTTTCAAAACTGCCCTATCAAGAGGAAGGTTCAGAATCTGTGAGTTGAAAGCAAACACCACAAAGTAGTTTCTGAGAATGCTTCTGTCTATTTTTTATGTAAAGATATTTCCTTTTCTACCATAGGACTCAAAGCTCTCTAAATATACACTTCCAAATTGTACAAAAAGAGTGTTTCAAAACTGCTCTATCAAAAGAAATGTTAAACCCTGTGAATTGAATGCACACGTCACAAAGTAGTTTCTGAGAATGGTTCTGTCTAGTTTTTATATGAAGACATTTCCCTTTCCACCATAGGCCTCCAAGCGCTCCAAATATTCACTTGGAAATTCTACAAAAAGAGTGTTTCAAAACTGCTCTATCGAAAGGAAGTTTCAACTCTGTGAGTTGAATGCACAGAGCACAAAGAAGTTTCTGAGAATTCTTCTGTCTAGTTTTATATGAAGAAATCACGTTTCAAACGAAGGCCTCAAAGGGATCCAAATATCGGATTGCAGATTCTACAAAAAGAGTGTTTCAAAACTGCTCTATCAACAGGAATGTTCAACTCTGTGACTTGAATGCAAACATCAAAAGTAGTTTCTGAGAATGCTTCTGTCCAGTTTTTATGTGAAGATATTTCCTTTTCTACCATAGGCCTCAAAGTGCTCTAAATATACGCTTCCAAATTCTACCAAAAGAGTGTTTCAAAACTGTTCTATCAAAGGAAAGGTTAAACACTGTGAGTTGAACCCACACATCACAAAGCACTTTCTGAGAATGATTCCCACTAGTTTTTCTTTGAACACATTTCCTTTTCCACCATAGGCCCCAAAGCGCTCTAAATATCCATTTGCAAATTCTACAAAAAGAGTGTATCAAAACTGCTCTATCAAATGGAAGGCTCACCTCTGTGAGTTGAATGCAGACATCACAAATAAGTTTCTGATAATGCTTCTGTCTACTTTTTATGTGAAGATATTCCCTTTTCCAAAGAAGGCCTCAAAGCGCTCCAAGTGTCCACTTGCAGACTTTGCAAATAGAGTGTTTCAAAACTGCTCTATCAAAAGAAAGGTTAAACTCTTTGAGTTGAACGCACACTTCACAAAGTAGTTTTTGAGAATGATTCTGTCTAGTTTTTCTATGAAGATATTTCCTTTTCTACCATAAGCCACAAAGCGCTCTAAATATCCACTTGGAAATTCTACAAAAAGAGTGTTTCAAAACTTCTCTATTGAAAGCAAGGTTCAACTCTGTGCGGTGAATGCACACATCACAAAGAAGTTTCTGAGAATTCTTCTGTCTACTTTTATATGAAGAAATCCCGTTTCCAACAAAGTCCTCAAAGAGGTCCAAATATCCACTTGCAGATTCTACAAAAAGAGTGTTTCAAAACTGCTCTAACAAGAGTAATGTTCAACTCTGTGAGTTGAATGCAAACATCACAAACTACTTTCTGAGAATATTTCTATCTACTTTTTATGTGAAGATACTCCCGTTTCCAAAGAAGGCCTCAAAGCGCTCCAAATATCCACCTGCAGACTTTTCACACAGAGAGTTTCAAAACTGCTCTATCAAAAGGCAGGCTAAGCTCTGTGAGTTGAACACACACATAACAAAGTAGTTTCTGAGAATGATTCTGTCTAGTTTTTATATGTAGATATTTCCTTTTCTACCATAGGACTCAAAGCGCTCTAAATATCCACTTGGAAATTCTACAAAAAGAGTGTTTCATAACTGCTCTATTGAAAGGAACGTTCAATTCTGTGAGTTAAATGCACACATCACAAAGAAGTTTCTGAGAGTACTTCTGTCTAATTTTTATGTGAACATACCCCCGTTTCCAAAGAAGGCCTCAAAGCGCTCCAAATGTCTACTTGCAGACTTTACAAACAGAGGGTTTCAAAACTCGTCTATTGAAAGAAAGGTTAAACTCTGTGAGTTGAACGCAAACATCACAAATTAATTTCTGAGAATGATTCTGTGTAGTTTTTATATGAAGATATTTCCTTTCCTACCATAGGCCTCAAAACGCTCTAAATATCCACTTGCAAATATTACAAAAAGAGTGTTTCAAAACTGCTCTATCAAAAGCAAGGTTCAACTCTGTGAGTTGAGTGACAGACATCACAAAAAAGTTTCTGAGAGTACTTCTGTCTAGTTTTATATGAAGAAATCCCGTTTCCCAAGAAGGACTCAAAAAGGTCCAAATATGAACTTGCAGATTGTACAAAAAGATAGTTTCAAAACTGCTTTATCAAGAGGAATGTTCAACTCTGTGAGTTGAATGCAAACATCACAAAGTAGTTTCTCAGTATGGTTCTGTCTAGTTTTTATGTGAAGATATTTCCTTTTCTACCATAGGCCTCAAAGTGCTCCTAATATACACTTGTAAATTCTACAAAAAGAGTGTTTCAAAAGTGCTCTATGAAAAGGAAGGCTCAAGACTGTGAGTTGAGTGCAGACATCATAAAGAAGTTTCTGAGAATTCTTCTGTCTACTTTTTATGGGAAGATACTCCCATTTCCAAAGAAGGCCTCAAAGGCCTCCAAATATCTACATGCAGACTTCACAAACAGAGGGTTTCGAAACTTCTTTCTGAAAAGGAAAGATCACCTCTGTGAGTTGAATTCACACATCACAAATTAGTTTCTGAGAATGCTTCTGTCTAGTTTTTATGTGAAGATATTTCCTTTTCTACCATAGGCCTCAAAGCGCTCTAAATATACACATGCAAATACTACAAAAGAGTGTTTCAAAACTACTCTATCAAAGAAAGTTTAAAATCTGTGTGTTGAACGCACTCATCACAAAGTAGTTTCTGAGAATTCTTCTGTCTAGTTTTATATGAAGACATCCCGTTTCCAAGGAAGGCCTCAAAGAGGTCCAAATATCCACTGGCAGATTCTACAAAAAGAGTGTTTGAAAACTGCTCTATCAAGAGGAATGTTCAACTCTGTGAGTTGAATGCAAACTTCACAAAGTAGTTTCTGAGAATGCTTCTGTCTAGTTTTTCTATGAAGATATTTCCTTTTCTACCATAGGCCTCCAAGTGCTCTAAACATTCACTTGGAAATTCTGCAAAAAGAGTGTTTCGAAACCGCTCTATCGAAAGGAAGGTTCAAATCTGTGAGTTCAATGCACACATCACAAAAAAGATTCTAAGAATTCGTCTGTCTAGTTTTATATGAATAATCCCATTTCCAAAGAAGGCCTCAAATAGGTCCAAATATCAACTTGCAGACTCCATAAAAAGAGTGTTTCAAAACTGCTCTATCAGGAGGAATGTTCAACTCTGTGAGTTGACTGCAAACATCACAAAGTAGTTTCTGAGAATGCTTCTGTCTAGTTTTTATATGAAGATTTTTCCTTTTGTACCATAGACATCAAAGCGCTCCAAATATACAGTTGCAAATTCTACAAAAAGAGTGTTTCAAAACTGCTCTATTGAAAGGAAAGTTCAACACTGTGTGTTCAATGGACCCATCAAAAAGAAGTTTCTGAGAATTCTTCTGTCTACTTTTATATGAAGAAATCCCTTTTCCAACGAAAGCCTCCATGAGGTCCAAAGATACACTTGCAGAATCTACAAAAATGTTGTTTCAAAACTGCTCTATCAAGAGAAATGCTCACCTCTGTGAGTTGAATCCAAACATCACAAAGTAGTTTCTGAGAAAGATTCTGTCCAGTTTTTCTATGAAGATATTTCCTTTTCTACCATGAGCCCCAATGTGCTCTAAACATCCACTTGGAAATTCTACAAAAAGAGTGTTTCAAAACTACTCTATCAAAAGAAATGTTAAACTCTGTGAGTTGAACCCACACATCACAAAGTAATTTCTGAGAATTCTTCTTTCTTGTTTATATGAAGAATTCCCATTTCCAACGAAGGCCACAAAGAGGTCCAAATACCCACTTGCAGATTCTACAAAAAGAGTGTTTCAAAACTGCTCTATCAAAAGGAATGTTGAACTCAGTGAGCTGAAAGCAAACATCACAAATTAGTTTCTGAGAATACTTCTGTCTAGTTTTTATATGAAGATATTTCGTGTTTACCATAGGCCTCAAAGCCCTCTAAATACAAACTTGCAAATCCTACAAAAAGAGCGTTTCAAAACTGCTCTATCAAAAGAAATGTTAAACTCTGTCAGTTGAACGCACACATAACAAAGTAGTTTCTGAGAATCATTCTGCCTAGTTTTTCTATGAAGATATCTCCTTTTCTACCATAGGACTCAAAGCACTCTAAATATTCACTTGGAACTTCTACAAAAAGAGTATATGAAAACTGCTCTATAGAAGGGAAGTTTCAAAACTGTGATTGAATGCACACATCACAAAGTAGTTTCTGAGAATTCTTCTGTCTTCTTTTATATGAAGAAATCCCATTTCCAACGAAGGCCTCAAAGAGGTCCAACTATCCACTTGCAGATTCTACAAAAGAAGTGTTTCAAAACTGCTCTATAATAAGGAATGTTCAGCTCTGTGAGTTGAATGCAAACATCACTAAGTAGTTTCTGAGAATGTTTCTGTGTAGTTTTTCTATGAACACACTTTTTTTTTCAATCTTATGCCCCAAAGCACTTTAAATATCCACTTGCAAATTCTACAAAAAGAGTGTTTCAAAACTCCTCTATCAAAAGGAAGGTTTAACTCTGTGAGTTGAGTGCAGACATCACAAAGAAGTTTCTGGGAATAATACGGTCTTCTTTTTATGTGAAGATACTCCCGTTTCCAAAGAAGGCTTCAAAGCGCTCCAAATATCTACTTGCAGACTTTACAAACAGAGGATTTCAAAACTTTTCTATCAAAAGAAATTTTAAACTCTGTGAGTTGAACACACACATCACAGAGTAGTTTTGGAGAATGATTCTGTCTAGTTTTTATGTGAAGGTATTTCCTTTTCTACCATAGGCCTCAAAGCACTCTAAATATCCACTTGCAAATCCTACAAAAACAGTGTTTCAAAACTGCTCTATCAAAAGAAAAGTTTAACTCTGTGAGTTCAGCACACAGATCACAAAGTAGTTTCTGGTAATCATTCCGCCAAGTTTTTCTATGAAGATATTTCCTTTTCTACGATAGGACTCAAAACGCTTTAAATATTCACTTGGAACTTCTACAAAAAGAGTGTTTCAAAACTGCTCTATAGAAGGGAAGTTTCAACTCTGTGAGTTCAATGCACACATCACAAAGAAGTTTCTGAGAATTATTCTGTCTAGTTTTCTATGAAGTAATCCCATTTCCAACGAAGGCCTCAAAGAGGTCCAAATATCCACTTGCAGATTCTACAAAAAGAGTGTTTCAAAACTGCTCTATCAAGAGGAATGTTCAACTCTGTGAGTTGAATGCAAACATGACAAAATAGTTTCAGAGAATGCTTCTGTCTAGTTTTTATGTGAAGATATTTCCTTTTTCTTCCATAGGCCTCAAAGCACTCTAAATATACACTCACAAATTCTACAAAAAGTGTGTTTCAAAACTACTCTATCAAAAGAAATATTAAACACTGTCAGTTGAACACACACATCACAAAGTAGTTTCTGAGAATCATTCTGTCTAGTTTTTCTCTGAAGATATTTCGTTTTCTACCATAGGCCTCAAACTGTTCTAAATATCCACTTGGAAATTCTACAAAAAGAGTGTTTCAAAACTGCTCTGTCAAAAGAAATGTTAAACTCTGTGAGTTGAACCCACACATCACAAAGAAGTTTCTGAGAATTCTTCTGTCTAGTTTTATATGAAGAAATCCCTTTTCCAACGAAGGCCTCAAAGAGGTCCTAATATCTACTTGCAGTTTCTACAAAAGGAGTGTTTCAAAACTGTTCTATAATGAGGATTGTTCAGCTCTGTGAGTTGAATGCAAACATCACTAAGTAGTTTCTGAGAATGCTTCTGTGTAGTTTTTCTATGAACATAGATTTTTTTCCACCATTGGCCCCAAAGCACTTTAAATATCCACTTGCAAATTGTACAAAAAGAGTGTTTCAGAACTCCTCTAACAAAGCAAGGTTTAACTCTGTGAGTTGAGTGCAGACATCACAGAGAAGTTTCTGGGAATACTACTGTCTTCTTTTTATGAGAAGATACTCCCGTTTCCAACAAAGGCCTCAAAGCACTCAAAAAATCTACTTGCAGACTTTACAAACAGAGGGTTTCAAAACTGCAGTATCAAAAGAAAGGTTAAACTCTGTAAGTTGAACACACACATCACAAAGTAGTTTCTGAGAATCATTCTGCCTAGTTTTTCTATGAAGATATTTCCTTTTCTACCATAGGACTCAAAGCGCTATAAATATTCACTTGGAACATCTACCAAAAGAGTGTCTCAAAACTGCTCTACAGAAGGGAAGGTTCAACTCCGTGAGTTCAATGCACACATCATAAGGAAGTTTCTGAGAATTTTTCAGTATAGTTTTCTATGAAGTAATCCCGTTTCCAATGAAGGCCTCAAATTGGTCCAAATATCCACTTGCAGATTCTACAAAAATAGTGTTTCAACACTGCTCTATCAACAGGAATGTTCAACTCTGCGAGGTGAATGCAAACATCAAAAAATAGTTTCTGAGAATGCTTCTGTCTAGTTTTTGTGTGAAGATGTTCCCTTTTCTTCCATAGGCCTCAAAGCATTCTATATATACACTTGCAAATTCTACAAAAATTGTGTTTCAAAACTGCACTATCAAAAGAAATGTTAAACTCTGAATTGAATGCACACATCACAAAGTAGTTTCTGAGAATGATTCTGTCTAGTTTTTCTATAAAGATATGTCCTTTTCTACCATAGGCCTCAAACCGACCTAAATTTCCACTCGGAAATTCTACAAAAAGAGGGTTTCAAAACTTCTCTTTCGAAAGGAAGGTTCATCTCTGTGAGTTAAATGCAAACATCACAAAAAGTTTCTGAGAATTCTTCCGTCTAGTTTTATATGAAGAAATCCCATATCCAACGAAAGCCTCAAAGAGGTCCAAATATCCACTTGCAGATTGTACAAAAGGAGTGTTTCAAAATTGCTCTATAATGAGGAATGTTCAGCTGTGTGAGTTGAATGCAAACATCACTAAGTAGTTTCTGAGAATGCTCCTGTGTTTTTGTATGAATATATTTTTTCCACCTTTGGTCCCAAAACGCTTTAAATATCCACTTGCAAATTGTACAAAAAAGAGTGTTTCAAAACTTCTCTATCAAAAGGAAGGTTTAACTCTGTGAGTTGAGTGCAGACATCACAAAGAAGTTTCTGGGAATACTACTGTCGTCTTTTTATATGAAGATACTCCCGTTTCCAAAGAAGGCCGCAAAGCGCTCCAAATATTTACTTGCAGACTTTACAAAAAGAGGATTTCAAAACTGCTCTATCAAAAGAAATGTTAAACTCTGTGAGTTGAACGCACACATCACAAAGTAGTTTCGGAGAAAGATTCTGTCTAGTTTTTATATGAAGATATTTCCTTTTCTACAATAGGTCTCAAAGTGATCTAAATATCCACTTGCAACTCCTACAAAAACAGTGTTTCAAAACTGCTCTATCAAAAGAAAAGTTTAACTCTGTGAGTTGAACACACACATCACAAAGTAGTTTCTGAGAATCATTCTGTCTAGCTTTTCTATGAAGATATTTCCTTTTCTACCGCAGGACCCAAAGCACTCTAAATATTCATATGGAACTTCTACAAAAAGAGTGTTTCAAAACTGCTCTATAGAATGGAAGGTTCAACTATGTGAGTTCAATGCACACATCACAAAAAAAGTTTCTGAGAATTCTTCTGTCTAGTTTTATATGAAGTAATCTCGTTTCCAACGAAGGCCTCAAAGAGGTCCAAATATCCACTTGCAATTCTACAAAAAGAGTGTTTCAAAAACTGCTCTATCAAGAGGAATCTTCAACTCTGTGAGATGAATGCAAACATCATGAAATAATTTCTGAGAATGCTTCTGTCTAGTTTTTATGTGAAGATATTTCCTTTTCTTCCATAGGCCTCAAAGCACCCTAAATATACAATTACAAGTTCTACAGAAAGAGTGTTTCAATGCTGTTCTATCAAAAGAAAGTTTAAACTCTGTGAGTTGAACCCACCCATCACAAAGTAGTTTCTGAGAATGTTTCTGTGTACTTTTTCTATGAACATATTTCCTTTTCCACCAATGGCCCCAAAGCGCTATAAATATCCACTTGAAAATTCTACAAAATGAGTGTTTCAAAACTGCTCTATCAAAAGGATGGTTCAACTCTGTGAGTTGAGTGCAGACATCACAAAGAAGTTTCTGGGAATACTTCTGTCTACTTTTTATGTGAAGATACACCCGTTTCCAACGAAGGCCTCAAAGCGCTCCAAATATCCACTTGCAGACTTTACAAACAGATTGTTTCAAAACTGCTCTAACAAAAGAAAGGTTAAACTCCATCAGTTGAACGCACATATCACAAAGTAGTTTCTGAGAATCATTCTGTCTACTTTTTCTATGAAGATTTTTCCTTTTCTACTATAGGCCTCAAATCGATCTAAATATCCACTTGGAAACTCTACAAAAAGTGTATTTCAAAACTGCTCTATCGAAAGGAAGGTTCAACACAGTGAGTTGAATGCACACATCACAAAGAAGTCTCTGAGAATGCTTCTGTCTAGTTTTGTATGAAGAAATCCTGATTCCAACGAAGAACTCAAAGAGGTCTAAATATCCATTTGCAGATTCTACACAAGGAGGGTTTCAAAACTGCTGTATAATGAGGAATGTTCAGCTCTGTGAGTTGAATGCCAATGTCACTAAGTAGTTTCTAAGAATGCTTCTGGGTAGTTTTTCTATGAACATAATTTTTTTCCACCGAAGGCCCCAAAGTGCCTTAAATATCCACTTGCAAATTCTACAAAAAGAGTGTTTCAAAACTCCTCTATCAAAGGAAAGGTTTAATTCTGTGAGTTGAGTGCAGACATCACAAAGAAGTTTCTGGGAATACTGCTGTCTTCTTTTTATGTGAAGATACTTCCGTTTCGAAAGAAGGCCTCAAAGCGCTCCAAATATCTACTTGCAGACTTTACAAAGACAGGGTTTCAAAACTGCTATATCAAAAGAAAGGTTAAATTCTGTGAGTTGAACGCACACATCACAAATTAGTTTAGGAGAATGATTCTGTCTAGTTTTTATATGAAGATAATACCTTTTCTTCCATAGGCCTGAAAGCACTCTAAATATACGCTTTCAAATACTACAAAAAGTGTGTTTCAAAACTGCTCTATCAAAAGAAAGATTAAACTCTGTGAGTTTAACGCACACATCACAAAGTAGTTTCTGAGAATCATTCTGTCTAGTTTTTCTGTGAAGATATTGGCTTTTCTACCATAGGCCTCAAACCGACCAAAATATCCACTTGGAAATTCTACAAAAAGAGTGTTTCATAACTGCTCTATCGAAAGGAAGGTTCAACTCTGTGAGTTGAATACACACATCACAAAGAAGTTTCTGAGAATTCTACTGTATAGTTTTATATGAATAAATCCCGTTTCCAATGAAGGCCTCAAAGAGGTCCAAATATCCACTTACAGATTCTACTAAGGAGTGTTTCAAAACTGCTCTATAATGAGGAATGTTCAGCTCTGTGAGTTGAATGCAAACATCATTAAGTGGTTTCTGAGAATGCTTCTGTCTAGTTTCTATATGAAGATATTTCCTTTTCTACAGTAGGCCTCAAAGTGCTGTAAATATACACTTGCAAATTCTACCAAAAGAGCATTTCAATACTGCTCTATCAAAAGAAAGTTTAAACTCTATGAATTGAATGCACACATCACAAAAAAGTTACTGAGAATTCTTCTAATTTTATATGAAGAAATCCCATTTCCAACGAAGGCCTTAAAGAGGTCCAAATATCCACTTGAAGATTCTACAAAAGGAGTGTTTCAAAACTGCTCTATCCGGAGGAATATTCAAATCTGTGAGTAGAATGCAAACATCACAAACGAGTTTCTGAGAATGCTTCTATTTTTTATATGAAGATATTTCCTTTTCTACCACAGGCCTCAAAGCCCTCTAAACACATATTTGCAAATTCTACAAAAAGACTGTTTCAAAACTGCTCTATCAAAAGAAAGTTTAAACTCTGTGCGTTGACCGCACACATCGCAAATTAGTTTCTGAGAATCATTCTGTCTAGTTTTTCTATGAAGATATTTCCTTTTCTACCTTAAGCCTCAAACCTCTCTAAATACACACTTGCAAATTCTACAAAAGGACTCTTTCAAAGCTGCTCTATCAAAAGAAAGTTTTAACTCTGTGAGTTGAATGCACACATCACAAAGTAGTCTCTGACAATCATTCGGTCTAGTTTTTCTATGAAGATATTTTCTTTTCTACCATAGGCCTCAAACCGATCTAAATATCCACCTGGAAATTCTACAAAAAGAGGATTTCAAAACTGCTCTGTCAAAAGGAAGGTTCAACTCTGTGAGTTCGAGGCACACATCACAAAGAAGTTTCTGGGAATTCTTATGTCTAGTTTTATAAGAAGAAATCCCGTTTCCAATGAAGGCCTCAAAGAGGTCCAAATATCCACTTACAGATTGTAAAAAAAGATTGTTTCAAAACGGCTCTATCAGGAGGAATGTTCAACTCTGTGAGTTGAATGCAAACATCACAAAGTAGTTTCTGAGAATGCTTCTGTCTAGTTTTTATGTGAAGATATTTCCTTTTCTACCCTAGGCTTCAAAGCACTCTAAATATACACTTGCAAATTCTACAAAAAGAATGTTTCAAAGCTGCTCTATCAAAAGAAAGTTTAAACTCTGTGAGTTGACCCCACCCATGACAAAGTAGTTTCTGAGAATGTTTCTGTGTAGTTTTTCTATGAACATATTTCCTTTTACATGATAGGCCCCAAAATGCTTTAAATATCCACTTGCAAATTCTAGAAAAACAGTGTTTCAAAACTGCTCCAGCAAAAGGAAGGTTCAACTCTGTGAGTTCAGTGCAGACATCACAAAGAATTTTCTGGGAATACTTCTGTCTACTTTTTATATGAAAATATTTCCGTTTCCAAATAAGACCACATAGTGCTCCAAATATCCACTTGCAGACTTTACAACAGAGTGTTTCAAAACTGCTCTATCAAAAGAAAGGTTAACCTATGTCAGTTGAAAGCACACATCACAAAGTAGTTTTGGAGAATGATTCTGTCTGGTTTTAATATGAAGATATTTCTTTTTCTACAATAGGCCTCAAAACGCTCTAAATATCCACTTGCAAATCCTATTAAAACAGTGTTTCAAAACAGCTCTATCAAAAGAAAAGTTTAACTCTGTGAGTTGAACACACACATCACAAAGTATTTTCTGAGAATCATTCTGTCTAGTTTTTCTGTGAATATATTTCCTTTTCTACTATAGGACTCAAAGTGCTCTAAATACTCACCTGGAACTTCTACAAAAAGAGTGTTTTGAAACTGCTCTATCAAAGTTCAACTCTGTGAGTTCAATGCACACATCACATAGAAGTTTCTGAGAATTCTTCTGTATAGTTTTATATGAAGAATTCCCGTTTCCAACGAAGACCTCAAAGAGGTCCAAATATCCACTTACAGATTCTATTAATGATCGTTTCAAAACTACTCTATAATGAGGAATGTTCAGCTCTGTGAGTTGAATGCAAACATCACTAAGTACTTTCTGAGAATGCTTCTGTCTAGTTTCTATATGAAGATATTTCCTTTTCTACAGTAGACATCAAAGTGCTGTAAATATACACTTGCAAATTCTACCAAAAGAGCGTTTCAAAACTACTCTATCAAAAGAAAGTTTAAACTCTGTGAATTGAATGAACACATCACAAAAATGTTACTGAGAATTCTTCTAATTTTATATGAAGAAATCCCGTTTCCAATGAAGGCCTTAAAGAGGTCCAAATATCCACTTCCAGATTCTACACAAAGAGAATTTCAAAACCGCTCTATCTGGAGGAATATTCAAATCTGTGAGTAGAATGCAAACATCATAAACAAGTTTTTGAGAATTCTTCTGTCTATTTTTTATATGAAGATATTTCCTTTTCTACCACAGGCCTTAAAGCCCTCTAAATACACACATGCAAATTCTACAAAAAGACTGATATACAAAACAGATCTATCAAAAGTTTAAACTCTGTGCGTTGACCTCACACATCGCAAATTAGTCTCTGAGAATCATTTTGTCTAGTTTTTCTATGAAGATATTTCCTTTTCTACTTTAGGCATCAAACCGCTCTAAATACACACGTGCAAATTCTACAAAAGGACGGTTTCAAAGCTGCTCTATCAAAAGAAAGTTTAAACTGTGAGTTGAACGCACACATCACAAAGTAGTCTCTAAGAATCGTTCGGTCTAGTTTTTCTACGAGGATATAGCCTTTTCTACCGTAGGCCTCAAACAGATCTAAATATCCACTTGGAAATTCTACAAAAAGAGGGTTTCAAAACTGCTCTATCAAAAGGTTCAACTCTGTGAGTTCAAGGCACACATCACAAAGAAGTTTCTGAGAATTTTTCTGTCTAGTTTTATAAGACGAAACCCCGTTTCCAATGAAGGCCTCAAAGAGGTCCAAATATCCACTTACAGATTGTACAAAAAGATTGTTTCAAAACGACTCTCTCAAGAGGAATGTTCAACTCTGTGAGTTGAATGCAAACATCACAAAGTAGTTTCTGAAAATGCTTCTGTCTAGTTTTTATGTGAAGATATTTCCTTTTCTACCATTGGCCTCAAAGCACTCTAAATATAACCTTGCAAATTCTACAAAAAGAGTGTTTCAAACCTGTTCTATCAAAAAAAAGTTTAAACTCTGTGAGTTGAACCCACCCATCACAAAGTAGTTTCTGAGAATGTTTCCGTGTAGTTATGCTATGACCATATTTCCTTTTACATCATAGGCCCCAAAGCGTTGTAAATATCCACTTGAAAATTCTACAAAAACAGTGTTTCAAAACTGCTCTAGGAAAACGAACGTTCAACTCTGTGAGTTGACTGCAGACATCAAAAAGAAGTTTCTGGGAATATTTCTGTCTACTTTTTATGTGAAGATATTTCCGTTTCCAAAGAAGGCCACAAAGTGCTCCAAATATCCACTTGCAGACATTACAAACAGAGTGTTTCAAAACTGCTGTATCAAAAGAAATGTTAACCTCTGTCACTTGAACGCACACATCACAAAGTAGTTTCAGAGAATGATTCTGTCTAGTTTTTATATGAAGATATTTCCTTTTCTACCATAGGCCTCAAAGCGCTCTAAATATCCACTTGCAAATCCTACAAAAACAGTGTTTCAAAACTGCTCTATCAAACAAAAAGTTTAACTCTTTCAGTTGAACACACACATCACAAAGTAGTTTCTTATAATCATTCTGCCTAGTTTTTCTGTGAAGATATCTCCTTTTCTACCATAGGAGGCAAAGCGCTCTAAATATTCACTTGGAACTCCGACAAAAAGAGTGTTTCGAAACTGCTCTATCGAAGGGAAAGTTCAACTCTGAGTTCAATGCACACATCACATAGAAGTTTCTGAGAATTCTTCTGTCTAGTTTTATATGAAGTAATAAAGTTTTCAACGTAGGCCTCAAAGAGCTCCAAATATCCACTTGCAGATTCAACAAAAAGAGTGTTTCAAAACTGCTCTATCAAGAGGAATGTTCAACTCTGTGAGTTGAATGCAAACATCACAAAATAGTTTCTGAGCACGCTTCTGTCTAGTTTTTATGTGAAGATATTTCCTTTTCTTCCATAGGCCTGAAAGCACTCTAATATTCACTTGCAATTTCCACAAAAAGTGTGTTTCAAAACAGCTCTATCAAAAGAAAGCTTAAACTCTGTCAGTTGAATGCACACATCAAAAAGTAGTTTCTGAGAATCATTCTGTCTAGTTTTTGTCTGAAGATATTTCCTTTTCTACCGAAGGCCTCAAACCGATCTAAATATCCACTTGGAAATTCTACAAAAAGAGGGTTTCAAAACTGCTCTATCAAGAGGAATGTTCAACTCCCTGAGTTGAATGCAAACATCACAAAATAGTTTCTGGGAATGCTTCTGTCTAGTTTTTACATGAAGATATTTCCTTTTCTTCCTTAGGGCTCAAAGCACTCTAAATATACACTTGCAAGTCGTACAAAAAGTGTGTTCCAAACTGCTCTATCAAAAGAAATGTTAAACTCTGTGAGTTGAAAGCACACATCACAAAGTAGTTTCAGTGGGTTTCAAAACCGCTCTATCAAAAGAAAGGTTAAACTCTGTGAGCTGAACACACACATGACAAAGTAGTCTCTGGGATTGATTCTGTCTAGTTTTTATAAGAAGATACTTCCTTTTCTACCATGGGATTCAAAGCGCTCTTAATATCCACTTGGAAATTCTACAAAAAGAGTTCTTCACATCTGCTCTGTCAAAAGTAAGGTTCAACTCTGTGAGTTGAATGCACACATCACAAAGAAGTTTCTGAGAATTCTTCTGTCTAGTTTTATATGAAGAAATCCCGTTTCCTACAAATTCCTCAAAGAGGTCCAAATATCCACTTGCAGATTCTACAAAAAGAGTGTCTCAAAACTGCTCTGTCAAGAGGAATGCTCAACTCTGTGAGTTGAATGCAAACATCAGAAAGTAGTTTCTGAGAATGCTTCTGTCTAGATTTTATGTGAAGATACTTACTTTTCTATGAGAGGCCTCAAAGAGCTCTAAATACACACTTGGAAATTCTACAAAAAGAGTGTTTCAAAACTGCTCTATAAAAAGAAAGGGTAAACTCATTGAGTTGAATGCACACATCACAAAGTAGTTTCTCAGAATGATTCTGTCTAGTTTTTATATGAAGATATTTCCCTTTCTACCAAAGGCCTCAAAGCGCCCTAAATACCCACTTGGATATACTACAAAAACAGTGATGCAAAACTGCTCTATAAAAAGGAACTTTCACCTCCATGAGTTGAATGCACACGTCACAAAGAAGTTTCTGAGAAATCTTCTGTCTAGTTTTATATGAAGAATTCCCGTTACCAACGAAGGCCTCAAAGAGGTCCAAATATAAACTTGCAGACTCTACAAAAAGAGTGTTTCAAAACTGCTCTGTCAAGAGGAATGTTCAACTCTGTGAGTTGAATGTAAACATCACAAAGTAGTTTCTGAGTATGGTTCTGTCTAATTTTTATGTGAAGATATCTCCTTTTCTACAATAGGCCTCAAAGCGCTCAAAATATCCACTTGCAACCCCTACAAAAAGAGAGTTTCAAAACTGCTCTGTCAAAAGGAAGGTTCACCTCTGTGAGTTGAGTGCAGACATTACAAAGGAGTTTCTGAGAATATTTCTTTCTACTTTTTATGTGAAGATACTTCCGTTTCCAGAGAAAACGTCAAAGCGCTCCAAATATCCAGATGCAGACTTCACAAACAGAGAGTTTCAAATCTGCTCTACCAAAAGAAAGGTTAAACTCTTTGAGTTGAAGGCACACATCACAAAGTACTTTCTGGGATTGTTTCTGTCTAGTTTTTATATGAAGATACTTCCTTTTCTACCACAGGATAAAAAGCGCTCTAAATATCCACTTGGAAATACTACAAAAAGAGTGTTTCAAATCTGTTCTATCAAAAGTTAGGTTCAACTCTGTGAGTAGAATGCACATATCACAAAGAAGCTTCTGAGAATTCTTCTGTCTAGTTTTATATGAAGAAAACCCATTTCCAACGAATTCCTCAAAGAGTTCCAAATATCCAATACCAGATTCTACAAAAAGAGTGTTTCAAAACTGCTCTAGAAAAAGAAAGTGTAAACCCAGTGAGTTGAATGCACCCATCACAAGGTAGTTTCTGAGAATGATTCCGTCTAGTTTTTATATGAAGATATTTCCTTTTCTACCATTGGCCTCAAAGTGCCCCAAATATCCACTTGGATATTCTACAAAAAGAGTGTTGCAAAACTGCTCTATTGAAAGGAACGTTCACCTCTGTGAGTTGAATGCACACATCACAAAGAAAGAAGTTTCTTACAATTCTTCTGTCTAGTTTTATATGAAGAAATCCCGTTTCCAATGAATTCCTCAAAGAGGTCCAAATATCCACTTGCAGACTCTACAAAAAGAGTGTTTCAAAACTACTCTATCAAGAGGAATGTTCAGTTCTGTGAGTTGAATGCAAACATCACAAAGTAGTTTCTGAGAATGGTTCTGTCTACTTTTCCTGTGAAGATATCTCCTTTTCTACACTAGGCCTCAAAGTGCTCAAAATATCCACTTGCAAACACTACAAAAAGAGTGTTTCAAAACTGCTCTGTCATAAGGAAGCTTCACCTCTGTGAGTTGAGTGTATACATCACAAAGAAGTTTCTGAGAATATTTTGTTCTAGTTTTTATGTGAAGATATTCCCATTTCCAAAGAAAACCACAAATCGCCCCACGTATCCAGATGCAGACTTCACAAACAGAGTGTTTCAAAACTATTCTATCAAAAGAAAGGTTAAACTCTGTGAGTTGAAGGCACACATCACAAAGTAGCTTCTGGGAATGATTCTGTCTAGTTTTTATATGAAGATACCTCCTTTTCTACCGTAGGATTCAAAGCGCTCTAAATATCCACTTGGAAATTCTACAAAAAGAGTGTTTCAAATCTCCTCTATCAAAAGGAATGTTCAACTCCTTGAGCTGAATGCAGACATCACAAAGTAGTTCCTGAGAATGCTTCTGTCTAGATTTTATATGAAGATATTACCTTTTCTACCATTGGCCTCAAAGACCTCTAAATACACACTTGCAAATTATACAAAAAGAGTGTTTCAAAACTGCTCTATAAAAAGTAAGGGTAAACTCAGTGAGTTGAATGCACACATCACAAAGAACATTCTCAGAATGATTCTGTCTAGTTTTTATATGAAGATATTTCCTTTTCTACGATAGGCCCCAAATCGCCCTAAATATCCGATTGAATATTCTACAAAAACAGTGTTGCAAAAGTGCTCTATTGAAAGGAATGTTCACTTCTGTGAGTTGAATGCACACATCACAAAGACGTTTATTATAATTCTTCTGTCTGGTTTTATATGAAGAAATCCCGGTTCCAATGAATTCCTCAAATAGGTCCAAATATCGACTTGCAGATTCTACAAAAAGAGTGTTTCAAAACTGCTCTATCAAGAAGAATGCTGAACTCTGTGAGTTGAATGCAAATTTTACAAAGTAGTTTCTGATAATGCCTCTGCCTAGATTTTCTGTGAAGCTATTTCCTTTTCTACCATAGACCTCAAAGAGCTCTAAATACACACTTGCAAATTCTTCAAAAAGAGTGTTTCATAGCTGCATTATAAAAAGAAAGGGTAAAACCAGTGAGTTGAATGCACACATCCCAATGTAGTTTCTGAGAATGATTCTGTCTAGTTTTTATATGAAAATATTTCATTTTCTAAAATAGGCCTCAAAGCTTCATAAATATCCACTTGGATATTCTACAAAAAGACTGTTTCAAAACTGCTCTATTGAAAGAAACGTTCACTTCTGTGAGTTGAATGCACAAATAACAAAGAAGTTTCTTAGAATTCTTCTGTCAAGTTTTATATGAAGAAATCCCGTTTCAAACAAAAGCTGCAAAGAGGTCCAAATATCCACTTGCAGACTCTACAAAAAGAGTGTTTCAAAACTGCTCTATCAAGAGTAATGTTCAACTCTGAGAGCTGAATGCAAACATCACACAGTAGTTTCTCAGAATGGTTCTGTCTAGTTTTTATGGGGAGACATGTCCTTTTCTACCATAGGCCTCAAAGCACTCATAATATTCACTTGCAAATTCTACAGAAAGACTGTTTCAAAACCGGTCTGTGAAAAGGAAGGTTCACCTCTGTGAGTTGAGTGCAGACATCACAAATGAGTTTCTGAGAATACTTCTGTCCCCTTTTTATGTGAAGATGTTTCCTTTTACAAAGAAAACCTCAAAGCACTCCAAATATGCAGATGCAGAATGTGTAAACAGAGTGTTTCAAAAATGCTCTATCAAAAGAATGGTGAAACTTTGTGAGATGAACGCACACATCACAAAGTAGTTTCTGGGAATGATTCTGTCTACTTTTTATACGAAGATATTTCCTTTTCAATCATTGGCCTCAAAGCCTTTGAAATCTCCACTTAAAAATTCCGGAAAAAGAGAGTTTCCAATCTGCTCTCTCTAAAGGAAGGTTCAACTCTGTGAGTTGAATACACACACACAAAGAAGTTACTGAGAATTCTTCTGTCTAGCATTATAGGAAGAAATCTCTTTTCCAACGAAGGCTTCAAAGTGGTCCAAATATCCACTTGAAGATTTTACAAACATAGTATTTCCAAACTGCTCTATGAAAACAAAGGTTAAGCTCTGTGAGTTGAACGCACAAATCTCTAAGGAGTTTCTGAGAATGATTCTGTCTACTTTTTATATGAAGATATTTCCTTTTCTACCATTGGCCCCAAAGCGCTTGAAATCTCCAGCTGAAAATTCCACAAAAAGAGAGTTTCACATCTGCTCTGTCTAAAGGAAGGTTCAACTCTGTGAGTTGAATACACACAACACAAAGAAGTTACAGAGAATTCTTCTATCTACCATTATATGCAGAAATACGGTTTCCAAAAAGGCCTCAAAGAGGTCCAAATATCCACTTGAAGATTCTGCAAAAAGAGTATATCAAAACCACTCTATCAAAAGGAATGTTGAACTCTGTGAGTTGAATACAAATACCACAACTTAGTTTTTGAGAATGCTTGTGTTTAATTTTTATCGTAAGATAATTAATTTTCTACCATAGGCCTCAAAGCCCTTTAATCCACCCTTGCAAATTCTAAAAACAGAGTGTTTCATAATTGCTCTATGGAAAGAAAGGTGGAACTCTGTGAGTTGAACGCACAGATCACAACGTGGTTTCTGCGAATGATTCTGTCTAGTTTTTACATAAAGATATTTTCTTGTCTACCGTAGGCTTCAAAGCACTCTAAGTATGCACATGGAAGTTCCACAAAAAGAGTGTTTGAAAACTGCTCTTTCGAAAGAAAGGTTCAACTCTGTGAGTAGAATGCACATCAAAAAGAAGATTCTCAGAATTCTTCTGCCTAGGTTTATATGAAGAAATCCCGTTTCCAACGTAGGCCTTAAAGCCGTAAAAATATCCACTTGAAGACTTTACAAACAGAGGGTTTCCAAACTGCTCTATGAAAAGAACTGTTAAAATCTGTGAGTTGAATGCACACATAACAAAGTAGTTTCTGAGAATGATTTCGTCTAGTTTTTATACGAAGATATTGCCTTTTCTCCCATTGGCCTGAAAGCGCTTGAACTCTCCACCTGAAAATTCCACAAAAAGTGTTTCCAATCTGCTCTTTCTAAAGGAAGTTTCAACTCTGTGGTTGAATACACACACACAAAAAAGTTACTGAGAATTCTTCTGTCTAGCATTATATAAAGAAATCCCGTTTCCAATGAAGGCCTCAGAGAGGTCCGAATATCCAGTTGCAGAATTTACAGAGTGTTTCCAAACTGCACTATGAAAAGAAAGCTTAAACTCTGTGAGTTGAATGCACACATCACAAAGCAGATTCTGAGAATCATTCAGTCTACTTTTTCTACGAAGATATATCTTTTCTACCATTGGCCTCAAAGCGCTTGAAATCTCCAACTGAACATTCCGCAAAAAGAGTGTTTCCAATCTGCTCTGAATAAAGGAAGGTGCAACTCTGTGAGTGGAATACACACAATACAAAGTAGTTACTGAGAATTCTTCTGTCTAGCATTATATGAAGAAATCCCGTTTCCAACAAAGGTCTCAAAGAGGTCTAAATATTCACTTGCAGACTTTACAAACAGAGTGTTTCCAAAATGCTCCATCACAAGAAAGGTTAAACTCTGTGAGTTGAAAGCACACATCACAAAGTAGTTTCTGAAAATGATTCTGTCTAGTTTATATACGAAGATATTTCCTTTTCCAATATTGGCCTCAAAGCCCTTGAAATCTCCACTTCCAAATTCCTCAAAAAAGTGTTTCAAATCTGCTCTGTCTAAAGGAAGATTCACCGCTGTGAGTTGAATACACACAACACGAAGAAGTTACTTAGAATTCTACTGTCCATCATTACACAAAGAAATCCCGTTTCCAACGAAGGCCTCAAAGAGGTCCAAATATCCACTTGCAGATTCTGCAAAAAGAGTGTTTCAAAACCGCTCTATTAAAAGGAATGTTGAACTCTGTGAGTTGAACGCAAACATCACAACTCAGTTTCTGAGAATGCTTCTGTCTAGTTTTTATGGTAAGATATTTCCTTTTCTACCGTAGGCTTCAATGCCCTCTAAATACACCCTTGCAAATTCTACAAAGAGAGTGTTTCATAACTGCTCTATAGAAAGAATGGTTGAACTCTGTGAGTTGAATGCACAGATCACAACGTGGTTTCTGCGAATGATTCTTTCTAGTTTTTACATGCAGATATTTCATTGTCTACCAAAGGCTTCAAAGCAATCAAAGTATGCACTTGGAAATTTTACAAAAAGAGTGTTAGAAAACTGCTCTTTCCAAAGTAAGGTTCAACTCTGTGAGTTGAATGCACACATAACAAACAAGAAGTTTCTGAGAATTCTTCTGTCCTGGTTTATATGAAGAAATCCCGTTTCCACCGAAGGCCTCAAAGACGTTCAAATATCCACTTCCAGACTTCACAAACAGAGTGCTTCCAAACTGCTCTATGAAAAGAAAGGTTAAACTCTGTGAGTTGAACACACATCACAAAGTAGTTTCTGAGAATGATACTGTCTAGTTTTTATACGAAGATATTTCCTTTTCTACCATTGACCTCAAATCGCTAGAATTCTCCACTTGCAAATTCCACAAAAAGAGTGTTTCCAATCTGCTCTGTCTAAAGGAAGGTTCAACTCTGTGAGTTGAGTACACACACACAAAGAAGCTACTGAGAATTCTTTTGTCAAGAATTATAAGAAATCCCGTTTCCAACGAAAGCCTCAAAGAGTTCCAAGTATACACTTGCACACTGTACAAACTAAGTCTTTCCAAACAGTTCTATGAAAAGAAATGTTCAACTCTGTGAGTTTAATACACACATCACAAAGCAGTTTCTGAGAATGATTCCGTCTAGTTTTTATACGAAGATAGCCTTTTCTACCATTGGCCTCAAAGCTCTTGAAATCTCCACCTGAAAATTCGGCAAAAAGAGGGTTTCCAATCTGCTCTGTCTAAAGGAAGGTTCAACTCTCTGAGTTGAATACATACATCCCAAAAGAAGTTACTGAGAATTCTTCTGTCTAGCATTATGTGAAGAAATCCCGTTTCCAACGAAAGCCTCAAAGAGGTCCAAATATCCAGTTGCAGAATTCACAAACTGACTGTTTCCAAACTCATCTATGAAAAGAAAGGTTAAACTCTGTGAGTTGAATGCACATATCACAAAGTAGTTCCTGAGAATGATTCTGTCTAGTTTTTATACGAAGATATTCCCTTTTCCACCAATGGCCTCAAAGTGCTTGAAATCTCCCCTTGCAAATTCCACAGACAAGTGTTTCAAATCTGCACTGTCTAAAGGAAGGTTCAACCCTGTGAGTTGAATACACACACACAGAAAAAAATTCACTGAGAATTCTATTGTCTATCATTACACGAAGAAATCCCGTTTACCACGAATGCCTCAAAGAGGTCCAAATATCCAGTTGCAGACAATACAAACTGAGTGTTTCCAAAGTGCTCTATGAAAAGAAGTGTTAAACACTGTGAGTTCAATGCACACATCACAAAGCAGTTTCTGAGAATGATTCCGTCTATTTTTTCTACGAAGATATTTCCTTTTCTACCGTTGGCCTCAAAGCACTTGAATTCTCCACTTGCAAATACCACAAAAAGAGAGTTTCAAATCTGCTGTTTCTAAAGGAAGGTTCAACTCTGAGAGTTGAATACACACCAGAAAAAGCAGTTACTGAGAAGTCTTCTGTCTAGCATTATATGAAGAAATCCCATTTCCAACGAAGACTTCAAAGAGGTCCAAATATCCACTTGAAGATTCTGCAAAAAGAGTGTTTCGAAACAACTGTATGAAAAGAAAGGTTAAACACTGTGAGTTGAACGCACACATTGCAAAGCAGTTTCTGAGAATGATTCCGTCTAATTATTATACAAAGGTATTTCCTTTTCTATCATTGGCCTCAAAGCGCTTGATACCTCCACCTGAAAATTCCACAAAAAGAGTGTTTCCAATCTACTCTGTCTAAAGGAACGTTCAACTCGGTGAGTTGAATACACACACACAGAAAGAATTCACTGAGAATTCTTCTGTCTGGCATTTACATGAAGAAATCCCGTTTCCAACGAAGGCCTCAAAGAGGTCCAAATATCCACTTGCAGATTCTGCAAATAGAGTGTTTCAAAACCGCTCTATTAAAAGGAATGTTGAACTCTGTGAGTTGAACGCAAACATCACAACTCAGTTTCTGAGAATGCTTCTGTCTAGTTTTTATGGTAAGATATTTCTTTTTCTACCGTAGGCTTCAACGCCCTCTAAATACACCCTTGCAAATTCTACAAAGAGAGTGTTTCATAACTGCTCTATAGGAAGAAAGGTTCAACTCTGTGAGTTGAATGCAGAGATCACAACGTGGTTTCTGTGAATGATTCTTTGTAGTTTTTACATGAAGATATTTCGTTGTCTACCGTAGGCTTCAAAGCACTCAAAGTATTCACTTGGAACTTTTACAAAAAGAGTGTTAGAAAACTGCTCTTTCCAAAGTAAGGTTCAACTCTGTGAGTTGAATGCACACATAACAAACAAGAAGTTTCTGAGAATTCTTCTGTCCTGGTTTATATAAAGAAATCCCGTTTCCAACGAAGGCCTCAAAGACGTTTAAATATCCACTTGCAGACTTCACAAACAGAGTGTTTCCAAACTGCTCTATGAAAAGAAAGGGTAAACACTGTGAGTTGAACGCACACATCACAAAGTAGTTTCTGAGAATGATACTGTCTAGTTTTTATACGAAGATATTTCCTTTTGTACCATTGGCCTCAAATCGCTAGAATTCTCCACTTGCAAATTCCACAAAAAGAGTGTTTCCAATCTGCTCTGTCTAAAGGAAGGTTCAACTCTGTGAGTTGAATACACACACACACAAAGAAGCTACTGAGAATTCTTTTGTCAAGAATTATAAGAAGAAATCCCATTTCCAACGAAGGTCTCAAAAAGTTCCAAATATCCACTTGCAGACTGTACAAACTAAGTCTTTCCAAACTGCTCTATGAAAAGAAATGTTCAGCTCTGTGAGTTTAATGCACACATCACAAAGCAGTTTCTGAGAATGATTCCGTCTAGTTTTTATACGAACATAGCCTTTTCTACCATTGGCCTCAAAGCTCTTGAAATCTCCACCTGAAAATTCTGCAAAAAGCGTGTTTCCAATCTGCTCTGTCTAAAGGAAGGTTCAACTCTCTGAGTTAAATACACACAACCCATAAGAAGTTACTGAGAATTCTTCTGTCTAGCATTATGTGAAGAAATCCCGTTTCCAACGAAAGCCTCAAAGAGGTCCAAATATCCAGTTGCAGAATTTACAAACTGACTGTTTCTAAACTCATCTATGAAAAGAAAGGTTAAACTGTGAGTTGAATGCACGTATCACAAAGTAGTTCCTGAGAATGATTCTGTCTAGTTTTTATACGAAGATATTTCCTTTTCCACCACTGCCCTCAAGGTGCTTGAAATCTCCCCTTGCAAATTCCACAAAAGTGTTTCAAATCTGCACTGTCTAAGGGAAGGTTCAACCCTGTGAGTTGAATACACACAAAAAAAAAAAATTCACTGAGAATACTACTGTCTATCATTACACGAAGAAATCCCGTTTACCACAAATGCATCAAAGAGGTCCAAATATCCAGTTGCAGACAATACAAACTGAGTGTTTCCAAAGTGCTCTATGAAAAGAAGTGTTAAACACTGTGAGTTCAATGCACACATCACAAAGCAGTTTCTGAGAATGATTCCATCTATTTTTTCTACGAAGATATTCCCTTTTCTACCGTTGGCCTCAAAGCACTTGAATTCTCCACTTGCAAATACCACAAAAAGAGAGTTTCAAATCTGCTCTGTCTAAAGGAAGGTTCAACTCTGTGAGTTGAATACAAACCAGAAAAAGCAGTTACTGAGAATTCTTCTGTCCAGCATTATATGAAGAAATCCCGTTTCCAACGAAGACTTCAAAGAAGTCCAAAAAAATATCCACTTGAAGATTCTGCAAAAAGAGTGTTTCGAAACAACTGTATGAAAAGAAAGTTAAACTCTGTGAGTTCAACGCACACATTGCAAAGCAGTTTCTGAGAATGATTCCGTCTAATTATTATACGAAGGTATTTCCTTTTCTATCATTGGCCTCAAAGCGCTTGATATCTCCACCTGAAAATTCCACAAAAAGAGTGTTTCCAATCTACTCTGTCTAAAGGAACGTTCAACTCGGTGAGTTGAATACACACACACAGAAAGAATTCACTGAGAATTCTTCTGTCTGGCATTTACATGAAGAAATCCCGTTTCCAACGAAGGCCTCAAAGAGGTCCAAATGTCCACTTGCAGATTCTGCAAATAGAGTGTTTCAAAACCGCTCTATTAAAAGGAATGTTGAACTCTGTGAGTTGAACGCAAACATCACAACTCAGTTTCTGAGAATGCTTCTGTCTAGTTTTTATGGTCAGATATTTCCTTTTCTATCGTAGGCTTCAGTGCCCTCTAAATACACCCTTGCAAATTCCAAAAAGAGAGTGTTTCATAACTGCTCTATAGAAAGAAAGGTTGAACTCTGTGAGTTGAGTGCACAGATCACAACGTGGTTTCTGCGAATGATTCTTTGTAGTTTTTACATGCAGATATTTCGTTGTCTACCGTAGGCTTCAAAGCACTCAAAGTATGCACTTGGAAGTTTTACAAAAAGAGTGTTAGAAAACTGCTCTTTCCAAAGTAAGGTTCAACTCTGTGAGTTGAATGCACACATAACAAAGAAGAAGTTTCTGAGAATTCTTCTGTCCTGGTTTATATGAAGAAATCCCGTTTCCAACGAAGGCCTCAAAGACGTTCAAATATCCACTTGCAGACTTCATAAACAGAGTGTTTCCAAACTGCTCTATGAAAAGAAAGGTTAAACTCTGAGTTGAACACACACATCACAAAATAGTTTCTGAGAATGATACTGTTTAGTTTTTATACGAAGATATTTCCTTTTCTACCATTGACCTCAAATCGTAGAATTCTCCACTTGCAAATTCCACCAAAAGGGTGTTTCCAATCTGCTCTGTCTAAAGGAAGGTTCAACTCTGTGAGTTGAATACACACACACAAAGAAGCTACTGAGAATTCTTTTGTCAAGAATTATAAGAAATCCCGTTTCCAACGAAGGCCTCAAAGAGTTCCAAATATCCACTTGCAGACTGTACAAACTAAGTCTTTCCAAACTGCTCTATGAAAAAGAAATGTTCAACTCTGTGAGTTTAATGCACACATCACAAAGCAGTTTCTGAGAATGATTCCGTCTAGTTTTTATACGAAGATAGCCTTTTCTACCATTGGCCTCAAAGCTCTTGAAATCTCCACCTGAAAATTCGGCAAAAAGAGGGTTTCCAATCTGCTCTGTCTAAAGGAAGGTTCAACTCTCTGAGTTGAATACACACAACCCATAAGAAGTTACTTAGAATTCTTCTGTCTAGAATTATGTGAAGAAATCCCGTTTCCAACGAAAGCCTCAAAGAGGTCCAAATATCCAGTTGCAGAATTACAAACTGAGTGTTTCCAAACTCCTCTATGAAAAGAAAGGTTAAACTCTGTGAGTTGAATGCACATATCACAAAGTAGTTCCTGAGAATGATTCTGTCTAGTTTTTATACGAACATATTTCCTTTTCCACCACTGGCCTCAAGGTGCTTGAAATCTCCCCTTGCAAATTCCACAAAAAGTGTTTCAAATCTGCACTGTCTAAAGGAAAGTTCAACCCTGTGAGTTGAATACACACACAAAAAAAAATTCACTGAGAATTCTACTGTCTATCATTACACGAAGAAATCCCGTTTACTGCGAATGCCTCAAAGAGGTACAAATATCCAGTTGCAAACCTTACAAACAGAGTGTTTCCAAAGTGCTCTATGAAAAGAAGTGTTAAACACTGTGAGTTGAATGCACACATCCCAAAGTAGTTTCTGAGAATGATACTGTCTAGTTTTTATACGAAGATATTCCCTTTTGTACCATTGGCCTCATACTGCTAGAATTTTCCACTTGCAAATTCCACAAAAAGAGTGTTTCCAATCTGCTCTGTCTAAAGGAAGGTTCAACTCTGTGAGTTGAGTACACACACACAAAGAAGCTACTGAGAATTCTTTTGTCAAGAATTATAAGAAGAAATCCCGTTTCCAAAGAAGGCCTCAAAGAGTTCCAAATATCCACTTGCACACTACACAAACTAAGTCTTTCCAAACTGCTCTAGGAAAAGAAATGTTCAACTCTGTGAGTTTAATACACACATCACAAAGCAGTTTCTGAGAATGATTCCGTCTAGTTTTTATACGAAGATAGCCTTTTCTACCATGGGCCTCAAGGCTCTTGAAATCTCCACCTGAAAATTCCGCAAAAAGCGTGTTTTCAATCTGCTCTGTCTAAAGGAAGGTTCAACTCTCTGAGTTGAATACATACATCCCAAAAGAAGTTACTGAGAATTCTTCTGTCTAGCATTATGTGAAGAAATCCCGTTTCCAACGAAAGCCTCACAGAGGTCCAAATATCCAGTTGCAGAATTTACAAACTGACTGTTTCCAAACTCATCTATGAAAAGAAAGGTTAAACTCTGTGAGTTGAATGCACATATCACAAAGTAGTTCCTGAGAATGATTCTGTCTAGTTTTTATACGAAGATATTTCCTTTTCCACCAATGGCCTCAAAGTGCTTGAAATCTCCCCTTGCAAATTCCACAGACAAGTGTTTCAAATCTGCACTGTCTAAAGGAAGGTTCAACCCTGTGAGTTGAATACACACACACAGAAAAAAATTCACTCAGAATTCTATTGTCTATCATTACACGAAGAAATCCCGTTTACTACGAAGGCCTCAAAGAGGTCCAAATATCCAGCTGCAGACATTACAAACTGAGTGTTTCCAAAGTGCTCTATGAAAAGAAGTGTTAAACACTGTGAGTTCAATGCACACATCCCAAAGCAGTTTCTGAGAATGATTCCGTCTATTTTTTCTACGAAGATATTTCCTTTTCTACCATTGACCTCAAAGCGCTTGAAATCTCCACTTGCAAATTCCACAAAAAGAGAGTTTCAAATCTGCTCTGTCTAAAGGAAAGTTGAACTCTGTGAGTTGAATACACACCACAAAAAGAAGTTACTGAGAATTCTTCTGTCTAGCATTATATGAAAAATCCCGTTTCCAACGAAGGCCACAAAGAGGTCCAAATATCCACTTGCAGATTCTGCAAAAAGAGTGTTTCCAAACTGCTCTATGAAAAGAAACGTTAAACTCTGTGAGTTGAATGCAAACATCACAAAGTAGTTTCTGAGAATGACTCCGTCTAGTTTTTATACGAAGATATTTCCTTTTCTACCATTCACTTCAAAGCGCTTGAAGTCTCCCCCTGAAAATTCCACAAAAAGTGTTTCCAATCTGCTCCGCCTAAAGGAAGCTTCAACTCTGTGAGTTGAATACCCACAACCCTAAGAAGTTACTGAGAATTCTTCTGTCTAGCATTATATGAAGAAATCCCGTTTCCAACGAAGGCCTCAAATACATCCAAATATCCAGTTGCTGACTTTACAAACTGAGTGTTTCCAAACTGCTCTATGAAAAGAAAGGTTAAACACTGTGAGTTGAACACACACGTACCAAAGTAGTTTCTGAGAATGATTCTGTCTAGTTTGCATACGAAGATATTTCCTTTTCTACCATTGGCCTCAAAGCTTTGAAATCTCCACTTGCAAATTCCACAAAAAGAGAGTTTCAACTCTGCTGTTTCTAAAGGAAAGTTCAACTCTGAGAGTTGAATACACACCAGAAAAAGCAGTTACTGAGAAGTCTTCTGTCTAGCATTATATGAAGAAATCCCATTTCCAACGAAGACTTCAAAGAGGTCCAAATATCCACTTGCAGATTCTGCAAAAAGAGTGTTTCGAAACAACTGTATGAAAAGAAAGGTTAAACACTGTGAGTTGAACGCACACATTGCAAAGCAGTTTCTGAGAATGATTCCGTCTAATTATTATACGAAGGTATTTCCTTTTCTATCATTGGCCTCAAAGCGCTTGATACCTCCACCTGAAAATTCCACAAAAAGAGTGTTTCCAATCTACTCTGTCTAAAGGAACGTTCAACTCTGTGAGTTGAATACACACACACAGAAAGAATTCACTGAGAATTCTTCTGTCTGGCATTACATGAAGAAATCCCGTTTCCAACGAAGGCCTCAAAGAGGTCCAAATATCCACTTGCAGATTCTGCAAAAAGAGTGTTTCAAAACCGCTCCATTAAAAGGAATGTTGAACTCTGTGAGTTGAATGCAAACATCACAACTCAGTTTCTGAGAATGCTTCTGAGTAGATTTTATGGTAAGATATTTCCTTTTCTACCGTAGGCTTCAATGCCCTCTAAATACACCCTTGCAAATTCTACAAAGAGACTGTTTCATAGCTGCTCTATAGGAAGAAAGGTTCAACTCTGTGAGTTGAATGCAGAGATCACAACGTGGTTTCTGCGAATGATTCTTTGTAGTTTTTACATGAAGATATTTCGTTGTCTACCATAGGCTTCAAAGCACTCAAAGTATTCACTTGGAAATTTTACAAAAACAGTGTTAGAAAACTGCTCTTTCCAAAGTAAGGTTCAACCTGTGAGTTGAATACACACACAACAAAAAAAATTCACTGAGAATTCTACTGTATATCATTACGCGAAGAAATCCCGTTTCCAGCGAAGGCCTCAAAGAGGTTCAAATATCCACTTGCAGACCTTCACAAACTGAGTGTTTCCAAAGTGCTCTATGAAAAGAAAGTGTTAAACACTGTGAGTTGAACGCACACATCCCAAAGTAGTTTCTGAGAATGATACTGTCTAGTTTTTATACGAAGATATTTCCTTTTGTACCATTGGCCTCATACTGCTAGAAATTTCCACTTGCAAATTCCACAAAAAGAGTGTTTCCAATCTGCTCTGTCTAAAGGAAGGTTCAACTCTGTGAGTTGAGTACACACACACAAAGAAGCTACTGAGAATTCTTTTGTCAAGAATTATAAGAAGAAATCCCGTTTCCAAAGAAGACCTCAAAGAGTTCCAAATATCCTCTTGCACACTACACAAACTAAGTCTTTCCAAACTGCTCTAGGAAAAGAAATGTTCAACTCTGTGAGTTTAATACACACATCACAAAGCAGTTTCTGAGAATGATTCCGTCTAGTTTTTATACGAAGATAGCCTTTTCTACCATTGGCCACAAGGCTCTTGAAATCTCCACCTGAAAATTCGGCAAAAAGAGGGTTTCCAATCTGCTCTGTCTAAAGGAAGGTTCAACTCTCTGAGTTGAATACACACAACCCATAAGAAGTTACTTAAAATTCTTCTGTCTAGAATTATGTGAAGAAATCCCGTTTCCAACGAAAGCCTCAAAGAGGTCCAAATATCCAGTTGCAGAATTACAAACTGAGTGTTTCCAAACTCCTCTATGAAAAGAAAGGTTAAACTCTGTGAGTTGAATGCACATATCACAAAGTAGTTCCTGAGAATGATTCTGTCTAGTTTTTATACGAACATATTTCCTTTTCCACCACTGGCCTCAAGGTGCTTGAAATCTCCCCTTGCAAATTCCACAAAAAGTGTTTCAAATCTGCACTGTCTAAAGGAAAGTTCAACCCTGTGAGTTGAATACACACACACAAAAAAAATTCACTGAGAATTCTACTGTCTATCATTACACGAAGAAATCCCGTTTACTGCGAAGGCCTCAAAGAGGTCCAAATATCCAGTTGCAAACCTTACAAACTGAGTGTTTCCAAAGTGCTCTATGAAAAGAAGTGTTAAACACTGTGAGTTGAACGCACACATCCCAAAGTAGTTTCTGAGAATGATACCGTCTAGTTTTTATACGAAGATATTTCCTTTTGTACCATTGGCCTCATACTGCTAGAAATTTCCACTTGCAAATTCCACAAAAAGAGTGTTTCAAATCTGCTCTGTCTAAAGGAAGGTTCAACTCTGTGAGTTGAATACACACCACAAAAAGAAGTTACTGAGAATTCTTCTGTCTAGCATTATATGAAAAATCCCGTTTCCAACGAAGGCCACAAAGAGGTCCAAATATCCACTTGCAGATTCTGCAAAAAGAGTGTTTCCAAACTGCTCTATGAAAAGAAACGTTAAACTCTGTGAGTTGAACGCAAACATCGCAAAGTAGTTTCTGAGAATGACTGCGTCTAGTTTTTATACGAAGATATTTCCTTTTCTACCATTCACTTCAAAGCGCTTGAAGTCTCCCCCTGAAAATTCCACAAAAAGTGTTTCCAATCTGCTCCGCCTAAAGGAAGCTTCAACTCTGTGAGTTGAATACCCACAACCCAAAGAAGTTACTGAGAATTCTTCTGTCTAGCATTATATGAAGAAATCCCGTTTCCAACGAAGGCCTCAAATACATCCAAATATCCAGTTGCTGACTTTACAAACTGAGTGTTTCCAAACTGCTCTATGAAAAGAAAGGTTAAACACTGTGAGTTGAACACACACGTACCAAAGTAGTTTCTGAGAATGATTCTGTCTAGTTTGCATACGAAGATATTTCCTTTTCTACCATTGGCCTCAAAGCTGTGAAATCTCCACTTGCAAATTCCACAAAAAGAGAGTC